>NC_000004.12:149224411-149527441 GCF_000001405.40 Homo sapiens
TGAGAACACCTGGACACATAGAAGGGAAAAACATACACTGGGGCCTATTGGAGAGTGGAGGGTGGGAGGAGGGAGAGGTTCAGAAAAAATAACTAATGGGTACTAGGCTTAATAGCTGGATGGCAAAATAATCTGTACAACAAACCCCCACGACACAAATTTACCTATATTAAAAACCTGCACATGTATTCCTCAACTTAAATTTTTTTAAAAAACTATCTTCAATGCCTGTATCTTGAAATGGTTGCTCTTGGAACCCTGCACCATGTTGTGAGAAAGCCCAAGCAGCATAGTGTGTGAAGAAGCCCAGGAGGAAAGAAACTGAAGCTCCAGACCCACAAAAACAACAAAAAAAATGAAAGTCAACAATAAACTCCTTTTCTCTCTTACCACATGTAACATCCTGCATGTTGTTAATTTATTTCTTAAAAGTTACTGTTATTTTTATCATATATACAAAATAATGTACATAAATAGTATTAATAACTGTATACACAATCCCAGTTTGAAAAATAGAACATCAGAAATACAGAGGACCCTATTTCTTTCCCATAATATATTCTACTCTCTCATTCCAAAGGTCTCTAATGTCCTGAAGTTTGTGTTTAATCACTACCTGCTTTTCCTTAAAGTTTTAAAAGTCTTATATGTACCTTTATGTAACATATGGTTACTTTTCTCTGATTTTGTACTTTATATAAGTATAATAATATATTATGCATCCTCTGTAATGTATTTTCCTCAAAGTATTTGACATTTTTCCATCTTGATTTGTGCAGCTATATTTTATTCATAATTTTGCATTATAAATTAGTTATACTCTTAATATTTATTAATATAATTTAGTTTATGTACCATTTCATTGTATAATGATGTAAAATTTATTTGTTTTATGGCTTATGGACTTTTGGGTTGTTTCCTAATTTTACAATTGCTATCAACACTATCATGTTCTCCTACATTTCTTTGTGTATGTGTGCCTTTGGGAGTACAAATATATGGTGATAGGATATGGGCATAGTCAATCTACAAAGTAATATTGACTGTAACAAAGTGTTTGTACCAAATTATATTTTAATCAATATAGTAGAGTCTTTATTTCTCCTTATCCTAATCAATACACTTATTGTCAGACTTTTTTAACTTTTGACAATCTACAGGGGTGAAATAGCAGCTCGAGTAGTGGTATTGTAGTTTTAAAGTACAAATTCTTGATTACTAACGAGGCTGGGCAGCTTCTCCCAGGCAATCTTATCTCCTCATATGAGAAATGCCTTTTCATATCTTTTATTCATTTCTTTTTCTATTGGTCTGTGGGTTGTTTTCTAATTGGTTTATAGGAATTCTTTATTTCTTGCTAATTTGTTTTCAGTTATATATAGCTATCTATCTTATCCCAGTTTTTCTCTTATAATTTTATTAACATTATGATGTCTTATGATGATCTGAAGTTTGAATATATTGTTCTTTATCTCTAGTCACTTCTTTTTTTTTATTATTATTATACTTTAAGTTTTAGGGTACATGTGCACAACGTGCAGGTTTGTTACATATGTATACATGTGCCATGTTGGTGTGCTGTACCCATTAACTCGTCATTTAGCATTAGGTGTATCTCCTAATGCTATCCTTCCCCTCACCCCACAACAGTCCCCGGTGTGTGATGTTCCCCTTCCTGTGTCCATGTGTTCTCTTTGTTCAATAATTCCCACCTACGAGTGAGAACATGCAGTGTTTGGTTTTTTGTCCTTGCGATAGTTTGCTGAGAATGATGGTTTCTAGCTTCATCCATGTCCCTACAAAGGACATGAACTCTTCATTTTTTATGGCTGCATAGTATTCCATGGTGTATATGTGCCACATTTTCTTAATCCAGTCTATCATTGTTGGACATTTGGGTTGGTTCCAAGTCTGTGCTATTGTGAATAGTGCCGCAATAAACATATGTGTGCATGTGTCTTTATAGCAGCATGATTTATAGTCCTTTGGGTATATACCCAGTAACGGGAGAAAATTTTTGCAACCTACTCATCTGACAAAGGGATAATATCCAGAATCTACAATGAACTCAAACAAATTTACAAGAAAAAACAAACAACCCCATCAAAAAGTGGGCGTAGGATACGAACAGACACTTCTCAAAAGAAGACATTTATGCAGCCAAAAAACACATGAAAAAATGCTCATGATCACTGGCCATCAGAGAAATGCAAATCAAAACCACAATGAGATACCATCTCACACCAGTTAGAATGGCGATCATTAAAAAGTCAGGAAACAACAGGTGCTGGAGAGGATGTGGAGAAATAGGAACACTTTTACACTGTTGGTGGGACTGTAAACTAGTTCAACCATTGTGGAAGTCAGTGTGGCGATTCCTCAGGGATCTAGAACTAGAAATACCATTTGACCCAGCCATCCCACTTCTGTATTTTGTTTAAGAAATCCTACCCCACCAGAAAGATACAAAAAATTTGTCTCTATTTTCTTTTAAGACTTTTATAGATTAGCTTTTTATATATGTCCTTAATTCAACTGAAGCTGATTTTTGTGTAGTGTGATGTAGGAATCTAAATTTATTTTTTCCGGTAATCATAACCAGTATTTCTCTATCATTTATTTAGTATGCCAGACTTTCCACATGAATACTCAATTTATCCCTTCATTCAAAATACGGTGCCAACTTTATTACAAATCAAATTTTCACAAGTCCATGAATTTGCCCCTGAATAGTCTATTTTTTCATTGTTGATTGACTGTACATTAATATAAAAATTGCCTTAATATAATTTTATGATATATTTATATTTGACAGGAAAATCCATCCCACCTCCACCTTTGTTTCCCTTAAGAAATGTTTGGTTATTCTTGGTCCACTGATCTTCCATACAAGTTACGACAACAGCTTATTTGAGTACGTGAAAGGATCTTGTTAGAATTTTGATAGAATGTATATTAATATATAGAAAATCATGATAGAATTTATATATTGCAATCTATATAAATGCCATATGTCTTGATTTATGTGAGTATACTTCACTGTATCATCATTATGTTTCACAGCATTCTCCACAAAGAGCTTGCTTATCTTTTGTATATTAGTTTTAGAGTATTTTATGTATTTATTGAAATTGTAAAGTTACCTTTTTACAATAAAATTTCAACAGAAGACTAACATAAATATATAAAAGTTCACAATCATAAGTGTAACATTCAGTGAACTATGACATTCAGAACACATTATCATAACCCTAGACAAACATTATCATACATTATCATAACCCTAGAAGACACCTGCAGGATGCTTCCAGTCTCAACACCTTCTCTCCTCAGAAGTATGACTATTCTATCTAATTCATAAATTTACTTGTTTTTAAAAATTTTATTTGATTAGAATCATATAGTATGTGACTGGCTTCTTTAACTCAACATTATATTAATGAGATGTATCAATGCAGCATTAGCTTATTTATTTTCATTGCTGTATAATATATTACATTGTGATTGTAAACTAAAAATAAAATCTAAAGCCCCCAAACCGACTGAATGAACCCCCTTTTAGCCGAGAGGACCCCAGAGAAACCTTAAAAACTGAGTTCCTGGCCATAGCAGGATGGAAGGTCAGACGCAGCTCGTTATAACCCCTCCCTTTTGTGGTTTAGACACAACAACTGATCAGCATTCATGTTAAAATAGAAATGAGGTTAATAGAATGAACTCTTTGTGGCAATAAGATACCAAATTATAAACATGACCTAAGACCATGTCACACCCCTACACTTAAAGAATAAACTATGTCAACTACCACAAGATTTTTCTTTTTCTCTGGCAGCTAAACAAGCATTGGCCTTGAGATAAGCAATGCTGAAGCAATTGCACCTTCCCCAGATGCCGACTAACTGATCCCTCCAGCCCCTGTTCCATAAACCATAACTGCAGGTTTGATTGGACAAGAGATTGATTTCAGTAACTGTCTCCTGATAAGAAGACTGGAGACTATGGATTGGTTCTGGACAGTTTCATGAGGCTGCATATGTCAGTGCCTTCATGTCCTGAAAAGACCTTTTGATGTATAGGGTCTAATTGTAATACGTTTAAATGTTCAGTCTCCACTCCAAAGTGAACATGAGTTGTATGTAACATGCATGTTTGTTCAATACACATGCCTCAGGACCACCTTTGTGAATATTCATAGCTTCTCCTACAGGCTGTTGGATACCTATGTTTAGGCAACTGGTTCAGCATAAAGCTCCTCCCTCAACCCCTCCTCCTTTGAAGTACCTGTCTCTGGTCTTTGCCAGAGGCTACTCTTCTGAGCCTGCAGGATGGCCACCTTGCAGCCTATAACTCTTTATAAGAAATAAAATCCTTTCTCCAAATTTATAAGTTGTGTGATTTGTTTTCAGTTAACATGGTAATACTTCACAATTTACTCTTCTATTTGCATTGTTTTGGATTTGTGGCTGTCACTAATAGTCTGATTACATTCATTTTTTTGTACATCCTGGTGTATGTATGTTTACATTTCTACTGGTATATACCTGTTAGTTCAATAATTTTATTTTGGCTGGGCATGATGGCTCATGCCTGTAATCCCAGAACTTTGGGAGGCCAAGGCAGGTGGATCACTTGAGGTCAGGAGTTCAAGACCAGCCTGGCCAACATGGCGAAACCCTGTCTCTACTGAAAATACAAAAATTAGCTGGGTGAGGTGGTGTGCGCCTGTAGTCCCAGCTACTTGGGAGGCTGAGATAGGAGAATCAGCTTGAACTCAGAAGGCAAAGGGTGCAGTGAGCCGAGATCATGTCACTCCACTCCAGCATGGGCAACAGAGTGAGACTCCACCTCAAAAAAAAATTTTTTTTTATTTTACCCTATTTAGAAGCTAATGGATTAGTAGATTACTCTTTCATGAATGCTGACAGAAGACATGAAACTCTTGGGTCAGAGACAAAGAAAAATTATTTCACACAGCATAAGAAGCAACATGAGGTTGCTTACAACATGGCCGAATAGAAACAGCTCCAGTCTACAGCTCCCAGTGAGATTGACGCAGAAGACAGGTGACTTCTGCATTTCCAACTGAAGTGCCTGGTTCATCTCACTGGGACTGGTTGGACAGTGGGTGCAGGCCATGGAGGGCAAGCCAAAGCAGGGTAGGGTGTTGCCTCACCCAGGAAGCACAAGGGGTTGAGGGATTTCCCTCTCTTAGCCAAGGGAAGCCATGAGTGACTGTACTTGGAGGAATGGTACACTCCTGCCCAAATACTGCACTTTTCCCATGGTCTTTGCAACTGGCAGACAAGGAGATTCCCTCCCGTGCCTGGTTCAGTGGGTCCCATGCCCATGGAGCCTTGCTTGCTGCTAGCACAGCAGTCTGAGATCGACCTGGGATGCTGGAGCTTGGTGGGGAGAGGGGAGTCTGCCATTACTGAGGCTTGAGTAGGCAGTTCTATCCTTACAGTGTAAACAAAGCAGCAGGGAAGCTCGAACTGGACAGAGCCCACTGCAGCTCAGCAAGGCCTACTGCCTCTCTAGATTCCACCTCTGGGGGCAAGACATATTCAACTTTCTTAAAGGCAAGAATTTTCAACCCAGAATTTCATATCCAGCCAAACTAAGCTTCATAAGCGAAGGAGAAATAAAATCCTTTACAGACAAGCAAATGCTGAGAGATTTTGTCACCACCATGGCTGCCTTACAAGAGCTCCTGAAGGAAGCACTAAACATGGAAAGGAAAAACTGGGACCAGTCACTGCAAAAACTTACCAAATTGTAGACTATCAATGCTATGAAGAAACTGCATCAATTAATGGGCAAAATAACCAGCTAGCATCATAATAGCAAGATCAAATTCACACATAACAATATTAACCTTAAATGTAAATGGGCTAAATGACCCAATTGAAAGATACAGAGTGGCAAATTGGATGATGAGTCAAGACCCATCGGTGTGCTGTATTCAGGAGGCCCATCTCACATGCAAAGACACACATAGGCTCAAAATAAAAGGATGGAGGAAGATCTACCAAGCAAATGGAAAAAAAAAAAGCAGGGTTTGCAATCCCGGTCTCTGATAAAACAGACTTTAAATGAACAAAGATCAAAAGAGACAAAGAAGGGCATTACATAATGGTAAAGGGATCAATTCAACAAGAAGAGCTAACTATCCTAAATATATATGCACCAAATACAGGTGCAAGCAGATTCATAAAGCAAGTTCTTAGAGATCTATGAAAAGACTTACACTCCCACACAATAATAATGGGAGAATTTAACACCCCACTGTCAATATTAGACAGACCAATGAGACAGAAAATTAACAAGGATATCCAGGACTTGAACTCAGCTCTGGACCAAGCAGACATAATAGACATCTACAGAACTCTCCACCCCAAATGAACAGAATATACATTCTTCTCAGCACCATATCACACTCTTCTAAAATTGACCACATAATTGGAAGTAAAACACTCCTCAGCAAATCTAAAAGAACAGAAATCACAACAAACAGTTTCTCAAACCACAGTGTAATCAAACTAGAATGCAGGATTAAGAAACTCACTCAAAACTGCACAACTACATGGAAACCAAACCCTTCAAAAAAATCAAGGAATCCAGGAGCTGGTTTTTTGAAAAGATCAACAAAATAGATTGACCACAGGCAAGACTAATAAAGAAGAAAAGAGAGAAGAAATGAATAGATGCAATAAAAAATGATGAAGGGGATATCACCACCAATCCCACAGAAATATAAACTACCATCAGAGAATACTATCAAGACCTCTACACAAATAAACTAGAAAATCTAGAAGAAATGGATAAATTCCTGGACACATACACCCTCCCAAGACTAAACCAGGAAGAAGTTGAATCTCTGAATAGACCAATTACAGGTTCTGAAATTGAGGCAATAATTAATAGCCTACCAACCAAAAAAACTCCAGGACCAGACAGATTCACAGCCAAATTCTACCAGAGGTACAAAGAGGAGCTGGTACCATCCCTTCTGAAACTATTCCATTCAATAGAAAAAGTGGGAATCCTCCCTAACTCATTTTATAAGCCCAGTATCATCCTGATACCAAAGCCTGGCAGAGACACAACAAAATCCCTAACATCAATGTGAAAATCCTTAATAAAACACTGGCAAACTGAATCCAGCAGCACATCAAAAAGCTCATCTACCACGATCAAGTCAGCTTCATCCCTGGGATGCAAGGCCAGTTCAACTTACGCAAATCAGTAAATGTAATGTATCACATAAACAGAACCAATGACAAAAACCACATGATTATCTCATAGATTCAGGAAAGGTCTTAGACAAAATTCAACAGGCTTTTATGCTAGAAACTCTCAATAAACTAGGTTTTGATGGAGCATATCTTAAAATAACAAGAGCTATTTATGACAAACCCACAGCCAATATCATACTGATTGGACAAACCTGGAAGAATTTCCTTTGGAAACCTGCACAAGACAAGGATGCCCTCTCTCACCACTCCTATTGAACATAGTATTGGAAGTTCTGGCCAGGGCTGTCAGGCAAGAGAAAGAAATAAAGGGTATTCAATTAGGAAAAGAGGAAGTCATGTTGCAGACAACATGACTGTATATTTAGAACACACCATTGTCTCAGCTCCAAATCTCGTTAAGCTGATAAGCAAATTCAGCAAAGTCTCAGGATATAAAATCAATGAACAAAAATCACAAGCATTCCTATACACCAATAAGAGACAAACAGAGAGCCAAATCATGAGTGAACTCCCATTCACAATTACTACAAAGAGAATAAAATACCTAGGAATCCAACTTACAGGGGATGTGAAGGACCTCTTCAAGGAGAACTACAAACCACTGCTCAATGAAATAAAAGAGGACACAAACAAATGGAAGAACATTTCATGCTCATGGATAGGAAGAACCAATATCATGAAAATAGTCATACTGCCCAAAGTAATTTATAGATTCAATGCTATCCCCATCAAGCTACCACTGAATTTCTTCACAGAATTGGAAAAAACGATTTTCAATGTCATATGGAACCAAAAAAGAGCCTGCATAGCCAAGATAATCCTGAGCAAAGAGAACAAAGCTGGAGGCATCACACTACCTGACTTCAAACTACACTTCAAGGCTACAGTAACCAAAACAACATGGTACTGGTACCAAAACAGTTATATAGACCAAAGGAATAGAACAGAGGCCTCAGAAATAATGCCACACATCTTCAACCATCTGATCTTTGACAAACCTGACAAAAAAAAGCAATGGGGAAGAGATTCCCTATTTAATAAATGGTGCTGGGAAAACTGGCTAGCCATATGTAGAAAGCTGAGACTGGATCCCTTCCTTACACCTTATACAAAAATTAACTCAAGATGGATTAAAGACTTAAATATAAGTCCTAAATCCGTAAAAGCCGTAGAAGAAAACCTACGCAATACCATGCAGGACATAGGCATGGGTAAAGACTTCATGAGTGAAACACTGAAAGTAATGGCAACAAAAGCCAACATAGACAAATGGGATCTAATTAAACTATAGAGCTTTTGCACAGTAAAAGAAACTATCATCAGAGTGAACAGGCAACCTACAGAATCAAAGAAAATATTTGCAATCTGTCCATCTGACAAAGGGCTAATATCCAGAATCTACAAAGAACTTAAACAAATTTAAAAGAAAAAAGACAAACAATGCCATCAAAAAGCGGGCAAAGGATATCAACAGACACTTCTCAAAAAAAAGACATTTATGCAGCCAAGAGACATATGAAAAAAAGCTCATCATCACTGTCATCAGAGAAATGCAAATCAAAACCACAATGAGATACCATCTCTCACCAGTGTGAATGGCGATCATTAAAAAGTCAGGAAACAACAGATGCTGGAGGGGATGTGGAGAAATAGGAACGCTTTTACACTGGAACATCACACACTGGGTCTTGTTTGTGGGGTGGGGGGCTGGGGGAGGGATAGCGTTAGGAGAATTACCTAATGTCAATGACGAGTTGATGGGTGCAGTAAACCAACATGGCACATGTATACCTATGGAACAAACGTGCATGTTGGGCACATGTACCCTAGAACTTAAAGTATAATAAATAAGAAAAAGCAACATGAGTTTCAACATATTTGTGTCAGTTTTTCTCCCCATCTCCAATGTCTCCTGAAGATGAAGTATAGGACCAAGATGGTTGCCTGCACATGAGTACAATGTTAAATAGAATTGGTGATAGAAAAATCTTTTCTTCTTCCAGATCAGGCAACAAGCTTTCAATATTTTATCATTAAATATAATGTTTATTCTATGTCATTATTATTATTATTATTGAAGTATATTTTAAATATAACATAGCATACAGATTTTAAATGTGGAGATTAATCAGTTTTGATAAATGTGTACAGACCCCAATAAATTCCATGTGGTAGGAAGAATTCTTAGATGACCCCCAAATTTCCTAGTCTCTAGGGTTCACACCCTATATGATTCCCTCCCTCAAATGTGGGTAAGGTCTGCAAATATGATGAAATATCACTCCCTTTATTATGCTTTGTTATATAGACAAAGAGATTCTGCAGTTATAATTAATGTCCCTAGTCAGTCGATTTCAATAAAAAGGATGAGCCTACTGTAATTAGGTAGCTTTTATTTTTATTTTATTTTATTTTATTTTATTTTATTTTATTTTATTTTAAGTTCTGGGATACATGTGCTGAACATGCAGGTTTGTTACATAGGTATATATGTGCCATGGTAGTTTGCTGCACCTATCAAACTGTCATTTAGGTTTTAAGCCCCCCATGCATTAGGTATTTGTCCTAATTCTCTCCCTCCCCTTACCCCCCACCCCACGACAGGCCCTAAGTGTGTTATGTTCCCCTCCCTGTGTCCAGGTGTTCTCATTGTTCAACCCCCACTTATGAATGAGAACATGAAGTGTTTGGTTTTCTGTTCCTGTGTTAGTTTGCTGAGGATGATGGTTTCCACCTTTGTCCATGTCCCTGCAAAGGACGTAAAGTCATTTTTATGGCTGCATAGTATTCCGTGGTGTATATGTGCCATATTATCTTTATCCAGTCTATCATTGATGGGCATTTGGGTAGGTTACAAGTCTTTGCTATTGTAAATGTGCTACAATAAACATACGTGTGCAAAAAACATACGTCTTTATAGTAGCGTGATTTATAATCCTTTGGGTATATACCCAGCAATGGGATTGCTGGGTCAAATGGTATTTCTGGTTCTAGATCCTTGAGGAATCACCACATTGTCTTCCACAATGGCTGACACTCCCACCAACAGTGTAAAAGCATTCCTACTTCTCCACATCCTTGCCAGCAGCAGCGGACATACTTCTGATTCATAAAAAAATAATCAGGCTTGTTGTGAACTGCCTATAGAAGGGTCCCTGTGATTAGGAAATGAGGGTAACTTTAGGCATTTAGAGTGTGACTTCTATCTGAAAGTCAGTAAGAAACATGGACTTCAGTTCTACAGATGTGAGGAACTAAATTGTTCCTGCAACAACAAGAACCTGGACAAGGACCTTGGACTCCAGGTGAGACTGCAGCTCTAGCTAACACTTTGTCAACCCTTGGCAGAAGACCCAGCTATGCCATACTTAGACTTCTGACCTACAGAAACTGTAAAATAATAAATGGATGTTGTTTAAGTCACTAAGTTTGTGGTACTTTGTTATACAGCATCAAAAAACTAGTACATTTCCTCATGTCCCTTTCCAATTCATCTCCTTATGCTAGAGGCTGCTCTGATTTCAATCGCCGTATCTTAGTTTTGCCTATCCTAGAATTTGATACAAATTGCAACATATATGTAAATAAAATCTTTGGTGTCTGGCATTTTTATTCAAGTTGTGTACATCAGTAGTTTGTTCTTTTTCTTGCTAAGTATTCTATCATATGAATATATTGCAATTTTATTATAATCACCTGGTTATGGCATTGGGTTGTTTCCATTTTAGGGCAATTATGAATGAAGCTGCTATTTTGAACCTTGTAGCCCCCATATCTTTTCTGGACATATGTTTTGTTTCTTTTGGGAAAGTACCTGGAGTAGAATTCCTGAGTCATCGGGAAGGTGAATGTGTATAAGATATGGCCAGATTATTTTCTAAAAAATTATATTATTTTTCATTCCCACCAGCAATGCATGAGCATGCCAATACTTCTGCATCTTGCCAAAACTTGTTTTTGACAGCCTTTTTAGTAGACCCTAGAGCAAAACTGGCAGAATTTGAATTACAGCATTGCAACTTAATGTATGACCTTGACCAAGTTTCTCGCTGTGTCTCAGTCTTCTTATTTGTAAATTGAGCACAATACTTGTACCTACTTCATAGGGTTGCTTTGATGATTAAGTGAGTTTATGTAAGTAAAGTCCTTAGATTCATGCTTGACATTTGGTATTATATAAATGAAAGCCATTGTAATTGAATATTTTTGTACTTGTGTTCATGAAAAAGATTGGTCTATAATTTTCTTTCTTGTACTCAACTTTTAAGGTTTTGTTGACTTTCTAAATTGCATTTATATTATTGGCAAGTCTTGTAATGATCCTTCAAATTTGTATCTTTAAATATAAACTCAATTTATGTCCATGTTGTTTGTATTTTCTTTTCTTCTTTTTTTTTCATTAATCTTGCCATTGTTTTTATCTGTTCTTAGTGTTTTCAAAGACTCAACTCTTAAATTTGTTGATCTGCTCCATTACGGGTTTATTTTCCTTGTCATTTATTTGTGCTTTTATTTGCATTTTCTATTTTTGGCAGATAAACTCTTCTCTTTTCCTCTTGTAACTTCTTAATTTGGGTATTTTATTTTTCAATACTTAGACTTTCTTTTAAAAATGTTAGCGCTTAAGTGTAAGTCTACATTTCCCTCTATGTACACTGTTAGCTGCATACCAAAGATTTTGATATGAGGTTTTCTCATTAAAACTAGTTTTAAATATTTCCCAATTTTCAGTATTTTTCTTTAATAAGAATTGCATATCCATGTGATTTTTTAATTTCAATATAAGCATCTTTCCTGGTCATCTTTTTGTTATTGAATTTTATCAAATAGTTTTATGCATTTTTTGAAAACATAGCATTCTTGTATCTTACATTGTTGTTTGTCAAATTCTGGGACATTTATTGAGACTGATTTATTGCCTAGGTTATGGTCAGTTTTCCTAAATATACGATATGTGTTTGAAAAAAGTGTGTTTTCTATGCATCAAGTATAGGTTTTTTTGTTTTGTTTTGTTTTGTTTTGTTTTGTTTTGTTTTGTTTTTGACAGAATCTTTCTCTGTTGCCCAGCTGGAGTGCAGTGGTGAAATCTTGGCTCACTACAACTTTTGCCTCCCAGGTTCAAGTGATTCTCGTGCCTCAGTCTCCCAAGTAGCTGGGATTACAGGTGTGTGCTACCACGCCTGGCTAAGTTTTTGTATTTTTAGTAGATACATGGTTTCACCATGTTGGCCAGGCTGGTCTCGAACTTTTGGCCTCAACTGATCTGCCCACCTCAGCATCCCAAAGTGCTGGGATGATAGGAAGGAGCCACTGTGCCCAGCCTAGTATAATATTTCATGTATCCATTAGTTGAGCTTGCTCATCAAACTCTTTGAAGTCATATATCCTTGCTGATTTTTTGTCTGCTTGATTATTTATTCTCGAACATTAATTCTCTTTTTCACCTGTGATCATTTATAATTTAAATCTGCTCCTAAAACAAGACATGAAAATTTATAACTTTGTCAAGTTTAGCTTCTAATTTGGAACATTTTTGCCTTATAGATTTTGAGACACTATGATTAGTATTTGCCTCACAACTTTTTATATTTTATCTTCAATCCTTTGGCATTTTTATATTTTTGGAGTTTCCTTAGTAAAGCACACTTAACTCAATGTATTATAAAAAATATAATTGACAATCTTTGTCTTTTAAGAGTTTAATTTGTTTACATTTTTGTTATTACTTTCTAAGTTTATTTCTACTTTCTTACTCTGTGCTTCCCATATTGTCTTTCCATAACTGAGTAGTATTTTCTACATAGTATCATTTTCTTATTCTGATTATTTCTTTATAGACAACAAATATATCTTTCTGGGCTACTTTTTGGATAACTTCTTCTAACTTCTCACAGAATTCCTTAATTCTCTCTTCAACTGAGTTTAATATATAGTTTAACTTATTTATTGAGTTAAAATTGTCATTATTGTTTTTATGCACAGAATTTTTTTCTGATTATTATTTTTCAAATTTCATTGGTAAGTTCTATATGCTCATTCTTTGTTCATATATTTAATTTCCTCTTTTATTAGTTAAAATCTATTAGTGATAATTAATTTTTACTCTGTCTTACAATTTAAATATCATTGTGGGTTTGATGCTACCTTCTATTGTTTTTGCTGACAACATGGAGCATGTATCCTCGTTTTGTTTATGGCTTTATGAACTCAGGTTCCTTAAAACTTTTTATGTGAATATTCTTTTATGCCTGGTCTGAGGTTACATCTTCTAAAGAGGAATTGAGTTTGCTTCTCCTTGTTTGCAGAAGTACCACCAATTTGGAGTCACTTTATCTGAGCTGATATGAATTTGTGCTACAGCCTTACATAATAAAAGGATTGCATTGTGATATCTCAGGGGTAAATTTTTCATATTCTTGTAGCAATAAAATTAAGATAGGCAAGATTCCTTGCTGGCCTCTTCCGCAGGGCACCCTGACACTGAGGATATAGTCCTGTTGTTCCCCAGATTTATGTGAGGGAGTTTTATCGGAGTCTATATTTTTGTCTGCTCTAGGCTGTAAGTTTCACATATGTTGTAGTCAGTGAAACTAAAACTCAAGGTCACTAGAGTTTTGTAGAAGTCATCAGAGTGGCTTAGGCACTGGCTGATCTCTCAGAGTTCCTACTTTCACTTCATTTTTTGTCCTCTATTGGTTCCATCCTTTGTGTGTAGGGGTGTGTGTGAGTGTGTGTGTGTGTGTGTGTGTGTATGGTTGTGTGTGTGTGTTTGCCATTTCCGTTGTATACTAAAATTTGTCTTTTTCATTATTTTAAAATGTTGCCTAAATTATTAGTTATCGTCTTCAATAGGGTTGTTTAGGATATCCAATCTGTCACGATAGAAATGGAAGAAAGTTAGGCTTTCTTAATATTTGTGGAATCTATCCCCCTTTCTCTGTGTTACCTCCAGCTTTTTAAGTTTAGACCTTCATTGTTTGTCAGCTGGATTCTGGTTTCACCCTACTTCACATCGTGGTGATGTCAAATTTTCATGGTGTTCTCCTTGAGTTTGGCATAAAATTTAAATTCCTTAGAGAACACAGAGAAGGAACAGTCAATAAGGAGTGACTAAAATGGAAGAGTGAACTATTAGGGAGCAGAGCCAATTCAAAAATGGAGTAATCAATAGCATATCTTGAAGAATATAAGACCATGAAATTATGTCATTTTACTTTTTAGTCTAAAAGCACAGATTTCTACTATGTATCTGAGAGAAAAATCAAATTCCCCAAGTTCATCACTTGTATTTCAAAGCACATTATTTGCTTAATCTAAAAAGATCTTTGACAGCAAGTTTCAAGTACTTAAGAATGCACAAGACTTCTTGTCCATGAATAGAATGAACAGAGAGATGGATATATGTCTCATTATAGAAGTCTTCCTGAATGATAATTCTATTGCAGATGGATAATGATATGTTGCCTCTCTTTGCTGTTATTGAGCATTAGATTGTTATTAACACTGTCTCATTTTCTATTACCTACAAAGTGGGGGTGGGGAGAGAACTAGGTTCTTTTCATAATACATTTTTAAAGCTTATTTTATCAATGTCTAACATACCATGATTTTAAAAGCATGTTATTACTTCCTCAGCTCAATTAATTTAATACTAATTTAAAAACCTACAATCATCAATGATAAGGAGGGATTCAAAAAATAATGAATTAGATAATACTTTATATTATTTTTTCATTTGTCTGTTTGCATGCAAGGCACACACTCACACACTCGTCTTCATCAGCAATCCAATCGAAAAAGGGCCTGGTACTTTAAGTGCCTGGACAGAAAGGGGAAGTTTCATTGATAACATATCAATGCATCTAATACATTGGCAAACTTTTATTTAGTAAAAAATCTTTAAAGAGCAAAAAGCAAATTTTGTGAAGAATATTGCCATGATTATAAACAGATGAAGAAACACAGATGTTAAAATAACAGTGTTGATGCAGATGTTTCAGAGAAACAATATGTAGTCAATAATTCCTAACCAAAGGCCTGTAATGGATAACAGGCCTAATATATTCACGTAGGGGGACACTAAACTCAGGTTAGACAAAAACCGCTTTCCAGGAAAGGGTTATCTAAGATTGGATGACTGACTTCATAAAGCCTTCTGCTTTGCTTTATTAAGTGTCTTCATATCTTTTGCTTGTAATTTCCCTATAATCGGCTATGGTTAAAACTGGGCTGCTCTAGGCCGGGCGCGGTGGCTCACGCCTGTAATCCCAGCACTTTGGGAGGCCGAGGCGGGTGGATCATGAGGTCAGGAGATCGAGACCATCCTGGCTAACAAGGTGAAACCCCGTCTCTACTAAAAATACAAAAAAAAAATTACCCGGGCGCGGTGGCGGGCGCCTGTAGTCCCAGCTACTCGGGAGGCTGAGGCAGGAGAATGGCGTGAACCTGGGAAGCGGAGCTTGCAGTGAGCCGAGATTGCGCCACTGCAGTCCGCAGTCCGACCTGGGCGACAGAGCGAGACTCCGTCTCAAAAAAAAAAAAAAAAAAAAAAAAAAAAAAAAAAAAACTGGGCTGCTCTAACTCAAAATATCAAGGCCTTGCTGATTTTCTTGTCTTAATTGTTTCCTGTGACACAGCCATCAAGTAAAGTCAAAGCATCATAGTATTGTTGCCTTCTAGACCAATACTATCCAACAGTAATATAAAGCAGTCCTAAAGAGCAAGCCACATATGTAATCTAAAATTTCCTAATATATTTTGAAAAAGGAAAAGGAACAGAAGAAATTAATTTTAATAATGTATTTTCATTTAACTCAATGTCCAAAATATTACAATTTTAATATATAATTTTTTATAGAGATGGGGTCTAGCTCTGTCACCCAGGCTGAAGTGCAGTGACATGGTAATGAGTCACTGCAATCTCAAACTTTTAAGCTCAAGCAATCCTCCTGCCTAAGCCTCCTGAAAAGCAAGGACTAGAGGCTTGCACTTCCCTATCTGGCTATTTTTTTTTTATTTTCTGTAGAAACAGAGTCTCACTATGTTGCTTAGGCTATTAATCAGATATTTTATGTTATATTTACATACTAAGCCTCCAAAATCTTGTGCATATTTTATACTTACAGCACATCTCCATTTGGACTAGGCATGTGCCAAGTGCTCAATTAGCCATATGCAGCTAGTGGCTCCTATATGGACAGCACAGTTGTAGATTTAAAATATATATATTTTAAGAATTACAGGGACAGGCATGGTGGCTCATGCTTGTAATCCTGGTATTTATGGAGGCTGAGGTGGGATGATTGCTTGAGCCCAAGTGTTCAAGACCAGCCTGGGAAATATAGTGAAACCCTGTCTCTATGCAAAAATAAAAAATATTTGCTCAGTGTGGTGGCACATGCTTGTGGTCCCAGTTCCTCGAGAGGCTGAGGTGGGAGGATCACTTGAGCCCAGGAAGTCGAGGCTGCAGTAAGCTGTTATCATGCCATTGCACTCCAGCCTGGGTGACAGAGTGGGACCCTGTCTCAAAAAAAAAAAAAAGAAGAAGAAGAAGCTCACAAAACAGCTTTTTTGATTAGACTCAGCTGCCTTCACTCCATCTCTGTGAAAATAGAATATTGGCAATGTGCTTAGCTTTCATCTTAAACCCTGGGAAACTGAAATACTCATCAAGTTTTTTGTTTGTTTGTTTTTGAGATGGAGTTTCTCTCTGTCTACCAGGCTGGAGTGCAATGGTGCAATCTTGGCTCAGTGCATCCTCCACCTCCTAGGTTCAAGCGATTCTCTTACCTCAGCCTACCGAATAGCTGGGATTACAGGTGCATGCCACCACTCCCGGCTAATTTTTGCATTTTTAGTAGAGACAGGGTTTTACCATGTTGGCCAGGTTGGTCTCAAACTCCTGACCTCAGGTGTTCTGCCTGCCTCGGCCTCCCAAAGTGCGGGATTACAGGCATGAGTCACCATGCCCGGCCTCATCTGTTTATTTAACAAATATTTACTCTTTGTTGATTGTGTGCTGTATAGTGGATTCGCTGCTGGGGTGAATGTCATAAATAATCCCCATTCTTCCATTCTTACAAAGCTTACCTTATCATGAGAAATGTGGACACATACATGTTGTTGAACATTTTGTGCTAGAGACTCTTCTAAGTGTACTATTATTTTCTCCAATTTACAGATGAGAAAAGGGTAGTCAATTAGCTCCTTGCTAGAATGTCATATCTGTCTCCATAGCTCTTTCCTTTCCCAAGCTGAAGTCATTAGTTGTTACCTAGAGGCTCCTGGGGCAGGGTTTTCAACCTTGGCAGCACATTCTGAAGCTCCTGAAGAGATTCTTAAGGTTACCAAAGCCTGGGAACCTCCCTCAGAAATTGTAATTTAATTGGTCATATGGTTTGGCTGTGTCCCCACCCAAATCTTGAATTGTAACTCCCATAATCCCCATGTGTCATGGGAAAGACCCAATGGGAGGTAATTGAATCATGGGGGCAGGTTTTTCCCATGCTATTCTTATGATAATGAATAAGTCACAAAAGATCTGATGGTTTTATAAATGGGAGCTCCCCTACACAAGCTCTCTTGCCTGCCTCCATGTAAGACGTGCCTTTGCTTCTCCTTTGCCTTCAACCATGATTGTGAGGCCTCCCTGACCATGTGGAACTGTGAGCCCATTAACCCAACCTTTTTCCTTTATAAATTACCCAGTCTGTGGTACGTCTTTATTAGCAGTGTGAGAACAGACTAATACAATTGGTCTGATCTCTAATTACCTAGTTCTCCTGTGCTGTCAGCGTTGTCTGAGGAGAAATTCAAGGAGATGGCCATGGGAAATGGCAGCAAGTCACCAGTGATAGCAGTTCTTTTCTTTTATTATTATTATTATTATTATTATACTTTAAGTTTTAGGGTACATGTACACAATGTGCAGGTTTGTTACATATGTACACATGTGCCATGTTGGTGTGCTGCACCCATTAACTCGTCATTTAGCATTAGATATATCTCCTAATTCTATCCCTCCCCCTTCCCCCCACCCCACAACAGTCCCCGGTGTGTGATGTTCCCCTTCCTGTGTCCGTGTGTTCTCATTGTTCAATACCCACCTATGAGTGAGAACATGCAGTGTTTGGTTTTTTGTCCTTGTGATAGTTTGCTGAGAATAATGGTTTCCAGCTTCATCCATGTCCCTACAAAGGACATGAACTCATCATTTTTTATGGCTGCATAGTATTCCATGGTGTATGTGTGCCACATTTTCTTAATCCAGTCTATCATTGTTGGACATTTGGGTTGGTTCCAAGTCTTTGCTATTGTGAATAGTGCTGCAACAAACATACGTGTGCATATGTCTTTATAGAAGCATGATTTATAATCCTTTGGGTATATATCCAGTAATGGGATGGCTGGGTCAAATGGTATTTCTAGTTCTAGATCCCTGAGGAAATGCCACACCGATTTCCACAATTGTTGAACTAGTTTATTGTCCCACCAACAGTGGAAAAGTGTTCCTATTTCTCCACGTCCTCTCCAGCACCTGTTGTCTCCTGACTTTTTAATGATTGCCATTCTAACTGGTGTGAGATGGTATCTCATTGTGGTTTTGATTTGCATTTCTCTGATGGCCAGTGATGATGAACATTTTTTCATGTGTTTTTTGGCTGCATAAATGTCTTCTTTTGAGAAGTGTCTGTTCATATCCTTTGCCCACTTTTTGATGGGGTTGTTTGTTTTTTTCTTGTAAATTTGTTTGAGTTCATTGTAGATTTTGGATATTATCCCTTTGTCAGATGAGTAGGTTGCAAAAATTTTCTCCCATTCTGTATACCAACCTGAATAACACATGCTACTCAGGTTGTTATTCTGTAGGTTGCCTGTTCACTCTGATGGTAGTTTCTTTTGCTGTGCAGAAGCTCTTCAGTTTAATTAGATCCCATTTGTCAATTTTGGCTTTTGTTGCCATTGCTTTTGGTGTTTTAGTCAAATTGTCCCTGTTTGCAGATGATATGATTGTATATCTAGAAAACCCCATCATCTCAGCCCAAAATCTCCTTAACCTGATAAGCAACTTCAGCAAAGTCTTCAGGATAAAAAATCAATGTGCAAAAATCACAAGCATTCTTATACACCAATAACAGACAAACAGAGAGCCAAATCATGAGTGAACTCCTATTCACAATTGCTTCAAAGAGAATAAAATACCTAGGAATCCAACTTACAGGGGATGTGAAGGACCTCTTCAAGGAGAACTACAAACCACTGCTCAGTGAAATAAAAGAGGATACAAACAAATGGAAGAACATTCCATGCTCATGGGTAGGAAGAATCAATATCATGAAAATGGCCATACTGCCCAAGGTAATTTATAGATTCAATGCCATCCCCGTCAAGCTACGAATGACTTTCTTCACAGAATTGGAAAAAACTACTTTAAAGTTCATATAGAACCAAAAAAGAGCCCGCATTGCCAAGTCAATCCTAAGCCAAAAGAACAAAGCTGGAGGCATCACGCTACCTGACTTCAAACTATACTACAAGGCTACAGTAACCAAAACATCATGGTACTGGTACCAAAACAGAGATATAGACCAATGGAACAGAACAGAGCCCTCAGAAATAATGCTGCATATCTACAACTATCTGATCTTTGACAAACCTGACAAAAAGGAGCAATGGGGAAAGGATTCCCTATTTAATAAATGGTGCTGGGAAAACTGGCTAGCCATATGTAGAAAGCTGAAACTTTATCCCTTCCTTACACCTTATACAAAAATTAATTTAAGATGGATTAAAGACTTACATGTTAGACCTAAAACCATAAAAACCCTAGAAGAAAACCTAGGCAATACCATTCAGGACATAGGCATGGGCAAGGACTTCATGTCAATAGCAGTCCTTTTCTAACCTTCACTCAGAACAAAATAATTAAGCTTTGGCTTTGTCTCAAACACCAAGTCATAAGGTCTTTACCCAAGTTCTTTTTACCACCTTCCACTCACCTCAGAAATCATGAAACATTTAGCTCGTGCTAAATTTTCTGCTGGGTCTAGAATCTGTAGGGGGAAAAATAATATATTTTCCTCTATACATCTTAGATTCATTGATGGGGCCCTGTAAGATAGACTTACAAAAGACAAATTAACAAAAGAAAAACAAGCAGAAGTTTATTAACATGTGCATCACATATACACATGTTACTCAGAGATGAGTTACTGAAAGGGGTTGGTTAGAACTTGAGTTTATATAGTCTCCCAACAAAAGAACAATACTTTTTAGAAAGGTGACAAGACAAAGAGAAAAACTTTGAACTTCTAGGCATGGAAAATTGTGGAATGCAAATATATAGAGGGAATTAATGAGAGATAAGAGCTAGATACTAGTGTTTGTTGTATAGATTCCTCTATTACCATCTTGGGGCTAATATGTGTCTAGAGTTGTCTCTGGTTATAAACTTCTGTCCTTCCTGCTAGAGGGAAGAGGAGGGACATCTTTACAAACTTATGTCTTATTTTTCATCAAACTGGGGAAGGGCATCTAACTTCTTATATCTGTTTCTTCTCAATTGCGTTCAGCCAAAATTATCCTTATGCCAAAGTGGCTTAACTTGGAGTGACATCTTGCTACTCTTCAAGTTCACTAAATCTCTACTCCAAGACAAGTCTATGTGACCTCTTGCAGAGTTCTTTTCTATGTTTTGATCCAGTTTATCTAGAGTGGGGTCCAAGAATTTGCATTCTAACAATGTCCTAGGAGTTGCTATTGCTTGTCCAGGGCTCACACTTTGAAAACTACTACTCTCTAGGTCTGCATTTCTCAAATTGCTTGCAGCTACTGACCCCACCCTGCACCATCCCACATGCAACTTGTTCCACTCCAATGAATATGCTCACTTAATTCCCAGAATCTGCTGGCCTATCCTGTCTTACTGCACTTTCTATTTCTATATCTAGCTCTGTAACGGGATATACTTGTGCTCTGACAAATGTAGTATAGTCTGAGCTTTGTAGTAATGGAATCAATAATACTATGGTGGGTTTTCAGATAATCCTCACTTATCAGTGAACACTGCATGTGAGGCATGCTCAAATTAGAACTTTTATTGCCCTAGAAATTTTGTAGTATTTTATGTAGAACTCAAGGTACAATGTCATGTGTTTTGGACAATATGAGAACAAAAAAGGATGAACAAGCAGACATAATTCAGGGAAGGTAAAGTATTTCTAAATTAAGAAAAGAAAATATAAAATCAGGCCTTCTTCACTCATCTTTGTATCTTTCTCCAGATTATTACCCCATTCAAGTTACACTACATACATTTCATGACATGTCACTTTCAAATAAAACATCACCAGGTCTTCTTGGGGGTGAATTTGTTCCTATTTTGTTTAACTTGGTCAATCTTTTGAGAGAGAGATATATATATCTATGCTTGATATTCTTACAGTTTGTCCCCTTCCACTTTCTACTTTGTGGCCAGCTTATTCCACACCCATTGCAACCCCCTTATCCTTCTTCACCTTTCTCCACGATACATTGATACATGTTAGCAAAATATATGAATTCCCAGCTCCCCTTTCCACTAAAAGTGACATACCCGCAATATAATCCTGGTCAAGAAGATGTAAGCATAAGTTTCTAAGGAGGGCTTTCCTTCCCAGATACAAAGACAAACCTCACAAGGAGAAGACGTTACCCTCTGTCCCTGCTGAGACACAAACATGATGTCTTATAAGTTCAACAGTCATATTGCAAACCAAAATGATAACAAGAAATTAGGAGTGCAGGTTTTTTATAAGATCTTTAAGTAATCAAACCAGTCCTGAAATACCTACAACTAAACTTTTTGTTATTTGAGAATGATAATCTCCAGTTTTATCTATCCCTTTGTTTGTCAAGTTTGTTGTAAGAGCCAAATTCAGTCCTAACTGGTATACATACAGAACTCTTAAACTACTCTTTAAACTACTAAGCTACGACTGCTCTAAATATCAGCTTGTTAATGATGACTTCAAGCCCTTACCTTGTTGGTATTGCCAAACAAACCTTACCACTGGGGTAAAAGACCCAGACTGCCTTACCAGGCTACAGGAATATTTGCATGTAGAAGCTGAGGGAAATTATCCCTTCCCTACCTCTCCACGGTCCTAACAATCAACATCTGCAACATGAAGAAGTGGCCCTGGAAGCTCAGGAATTCTGGGGGCATATAGTTTTTTTGCTCATGATGGTCTACATTCTTTTGTCCAATTAAACCTTCTTTCTTGCCTCACCTATATCCTGTACCCATTTTTGGTGAGTGTAGCCAGAGTCTGTGCTGCATTTTCAGCAGATAGCTGGAGGACGGCATTTCCTCTCATCGGTCACCTTGATACATTGGTGGAAGCTGTTTCTTAACTAGTATTTCTGTAGTGAAAAAGAGACTTAGCCACTGAATATGCAAAGAGTAGATCCTTCTAAATCTACAAGCATAACAGAAACAAAGACTTGCAATGGGGACAGAGAAGCTTGCTAGTTAAATTATTAACCAAGCAAAGCTCAGTAAACTAAGGGGAAAAGTGCTACGTTTAATATTTTAGAACATTTTAAGTCCCTGTAGTAGTGGGCTACAGTGGTTTATTTGAGATTAGTTCCACATAAACTTGCCAAGATAAAGAACTTCTGTCAAATGACTCTCTGTTTCCCAGCTGCTTTCCGATTAGCATACAACAGTCATAGAGCCACATCTTGTGATCTCTGAGCTGCTAAACAGTTTGAATAAACCAGAATTTTACATTAAATGAAAATGACTATTAAAATGCATTTGAGTTTATGATGATTGGGCCTCTGCAGTCTTACACACTGAGCAGTTCTGAAATTTCTGATGACTTCCTCTTCTCATAATTTTGTACTGCATTTTAGCATTCTGAGCTTAAGAAACACAAATTCAATTTAACTTTCATATTGCTCATTTCTAAACAAAAACTCCACATTTCTTCTAAAATGAAAAAGTATTATAAACTTACCTAAAGGCAAAAATGTTCAGTGGTAATCTGGGCCATATACAAAAACACTCCAATAGAAGAAAATGGTTTTCAGTGGTAGTCTTTACATTTTTAATTCCTTGCATTATGCCTATAGTGTCAACGATTTTACTATCAAGTCAAAATGAAAGCCTTGGCAGCAAGGTCCCTTGAATAGTGAACAAAACAGGTTAATTAGAAGCATATTGAGGTTTTTTTTTAGTTGCAAATTCTCATGAGTAAAAGAAATGAAGTATAAATCTCATAATGCAAAAAGAAAATGGCATTATTTTTATACTCACAGATGAATAAGCTAGATCCTAGAAAAACTATCTCTTATGGAAAATCTATAACAATAGTGGAATTTTTTTTCCTAAGAAAATTGGCCCCATGCCCCCTTTCTCACTTAGAATCTACTCCTTATTGCTGCCACAGCATCAGCATTTATGTGTAAACTTCTCTTCTCCCCTCTGTTTCCCTATAGCTGTGAACCCCAGCTTCCAGCTCTTTTTGCACTATGTTTGAACAATAAGTGGATTTTGTGTGTGTGTGATGGCAGTGATCTACAGTGCCTTTCCATGTTCATCATGGACATCTTCCACTTCCCAGATTACCTCTGGCACTTCTGAGCCAGCTTCTCCCACTGTGCAGCATGCTCCTGGGATAAATTCCCTGCCATCAGTTGCTGTGTGGGCAGCAAATGCAAACTAATTTTAACCTTAGCTTAACCAAAGCATTATTAGACTCTTAAAACCACAGAACACACATCATATGGCAGAGACCAAAGACAAATAGGAATGATTTGGGGGAAAAGTATGGAGCTCTCTGATGTTGGGGGTTATTCCAATCTCTGATTCTCTCAGTGAATGCCCATAGCTGAGAACAGAGTTCTGTTTAAAAATAGTTTTGCATATTTATTATTCCTGAAGCACATGTCAGACAGACAATATTTATCTGGGTCAGTGAGCTCAGTTGGTACAGTGCTAATAAGGCCAAAAGCATGGACTCTTTCCCCATGGAAACCGGGAAAATTGACTCAGAGGAAAAAAAAGAAATCTATTCTACATTCACACATTGTACCCCCAAACCTGGCCAGACATCTTGCAAATGCATGCTGTGAGTAACAAGTGGGGTGGATAAGAGAGAATATGCTGCCTTGCAGTAAGTCCAATCAATGCAAGTGTTCTAGAGTTGACTCCAAGCTTAGATCCTTCAGGAAGCAAATCAGGATTGTGATTGATCAGGAGTGTTGGAATTCACATGCTGGATACAACTGGCATATAGATGCATATCACTGCCGCTTGCTATAGAAAATTGTAAGATAATATTATCTATGCTGACATACACATTATTTTAAAGAATTAATAATGAGTTCTTTATGGTTTCCACTATTTTGAGGGTTTATCTCTTATAAGTGACTCTGCCTTTTGGCCACACAGGAAGACACCATGTGGAAATATCATCTGCTTTGGAGTCAGAGACCCAAGATCAAATCCTTCCTTCATCATTTAGTTATGGCATGACCTTGGGCAAGGTACTTAACATTTTCTAAACTGTGTTTCTGCATATGCAAAATGAGGTTATAACAGAGTTATTAAGAGGATTCAGTGAGACAAGTTATCTAAAGCTATTAACTTAGTGCCTGGGACATAGTAAACTCTCCATTAATGGTGGCTTTTATTCTTATTATAGCATAGGATAACATACAAAAATGACAGGTAAGTGCCAGAATCATAATAGGCAATCAGTTAAGATCAATTCTCACCCTTCCTCTCTGGTTTGACCAGTTTCTGCTGTTTTAATGTAGGTATCACCCTTTTTTCATGGTGTTTCATTTCTTTTATCTTTGCAGGGTATTTTCTGTCCTCCTTGTTCAGGGCCTCTCTAGTTCTGCTGTCACTAGTCCAGGTGTGCTCTGTCCTACATCACTTCATTCCTATGTTGACCGAGTTCCAAGGCCCTTTTTATGGAGCAGCCCTCTTTTTATTTAATGCTCTGTAGGGCTCACTCATTGGAAGATTTATTTATCCATCCAAAGAAAACTATATTAGTGGTGGTGTTCAGGAAGCCAGATGTGAGGTATGTATTTGGAAGTTATAGGCCACTTAGTTTCCAGAAGGTTAAAAATATTACCTCTTTATAGACCTTTTATTTGTCCATGAACTGGATTCCATATTGGTGCCACATTCAATCTGCTGAATAAGTTTTTTTTATTTTTTTCCTGCTCAAAATGAAATTGAGAGGGGGCTTGATGAAAATAAATTGGTGGGCATGAAAGAGATTTGTAATGCACCTTAGCTCTATTCTCACAGGTTAGGTTTCTCCAAGTTTACTGTTTGAGCAGAGACTCTGATGCTGTTGCCGTACATCAGGGATGTATGTGGTAGAAGTCACCATACTTGATGTTTCCATTTGCATCTTGGACAGTGCTTTCAATTCACCTTCTAAGCCAAGAAGGAAGAAAAACCTTATTTGCCTCTCTCATGGGGAGGCTCTTTTTTAATATTCAAGAAAGTGCATCTGTGGGTACCGTCAAAGGCCTTTGATGAGAGCCCCACCAGAGACGTCCATGATTCTAGGAATTTCCTCTGGTTATTCTTTGTTCATTCCCAACTAGCTCTGGCCCCAGAACTGTCCTCACTTTTTCTTTTTTCATAATGTCTTAATCAGATTTGATATCTTCTGTTATAAATTCAATTATTTTTCAGTTTGTCCCCAACTGTGAATTTTCTAGACATTCTGGATCCACTCGTGGCCCTGTAGTTATATCTGACCTTCATCTGTGTTCTGTAGAAGTTTTGAAAACTTTTGGTAGGGGTCACAAGGAGACATGATGTTGGATGCCAGGATATTGGTATGGAAGGCCCAGCCAAATGAACAACATTCTTCTAAATAATAGAGCTATTTGGAGGATTCAGTGAGATAAAGTATATAAAGCTATTAACTTAGTGCCTGGAACACAGTAAACTCTCCATTAATGATGGCTTTTATTATTATTACAGCATAGGATAGCATATGAAAAGTGACTGTGTAAGTGAATTACTTTCTTGAAAACATTTTTCTCTGAACCCGTTCTTGGATATATCATCTAGCCTGGTCTAAAATGAGTTCTTTCCCAACCCTTCTTCATGATGTTGTCCACCAATAAAAGCAAAGATTTTCTCCTCAGATATTTTCCAAAGAATTATTGTGGCAACTAATAATCGGCACACCAGGAGGAGGCTCTTTGGCGTGGCTAGAGAGGCTGACAGTTGGCCTACAACTTAGAAGGGCATGCTCGAGTATTTTCTCACCACCCCATGAATAGTGTGAAAGACACATGGTCAAGTTTATTCACTCATCAAACTAATGCATATGGAGCTCTAACAGATAATTAAACACTCAATATAGAAAGATGAAGAAGACATTGTTTCTGCCCATCATCCAATGGGGAGAGACAGACTGATACATAAACAAATCATAACACAAGGTTAATTTATAGATAATTGACCTTTTTTATACTTCATTTATCTATTGACAATATTTCCTGCTTCTCTTTTTTCTCTCTCTCTTTTTTTTATTATACTTTAAGTTTTAGGGTACATGTGCACAACGTGTAGGTTTGTTACATATATATACATGTGCCATGTTGGTGTGCTGCACCCATTAACTCGTCATTTAACATTAGGTATATCTCCTAATGCTATCCCTCCCCCCTTCCCCCACCCCACAACAGGCCCTGGTGTGTGATGTTCCCCTTCCTGTGTCCATGTGTTCTCATTCTTCAGTTCCCATCTGTGAGTGAGAACACGCAGTGTTTGGTTTTTTGTCCTTGTGATAGTTTGCTGAGAATGATGGTTTCCAGCTTCAACCATGTCCCTACAAAGGACATGAACTCATCATTTTTTATGGCTGCATAGTATTCCATGGTGTATATGTGCCACATTTTCTTAATCCAGTCTATCATTGTTGGACATTTGGGTTGGTTCCAAATCTTTGCTATTGTGAATAGTGCCTGCTTTTCAATTCTATTGAAATATGACATCATTTAAGGTAGAGTCGGACTCCTAATGCCATGTTTCTCTTTAGTATCACTATATTCTCTATCCGTATGTATCTCCACCATTTTTTTGTTTGTTTGTTTTTAAATTTCTTTTCTTTCTTGTGGGACTTCAATCAATCAGCTCCATCTAATTTTCTCTTTGATGAGCTGCAGGAGCAGTATGATAAGTTTCAGTTTGTCTGCTGGCTCCTAGATCACCAACTAAATGTACTGAGACCTTAAAATCATTTGGTAAGGCTGTGAGTCAAATCTCCAATAAAATTATACACTGGGACATACTTGAATCAAAGGCAAACATGGACTACTTTTTGTTGATGAAATCCCTTGAGTCAAGGACTCAAATTTCAAAACCAAATATACTAACAAGGAAAGCCATTTATAATGTATTTCTTCATTAATTCAAACTGCCTTCACATTATTTTTCCCAAAAACTCATAGGATCCAGAACAGCAAGTATATTCTTTAAAAGGTTGTATTTTAAGCCAATTACAAAATATGAAGACTCTCAATTAGGCAAACTAAGACGTGAATATTCATACAAATTTATGGTTTTTTTCTGTCATTGAATATCAAGTCCTGGCAAGTCATTATCTTTCTTTATACTGAATGAACTTATTAACAGCAATTACAATGATCAGAAGTGAAATGTTTAACAGAGCTGACATTTAGGTGCTCATAACTGGGTTTGAAAGTCACCATATTATTGAGATGGATAGGAGAAGTTACTGTGTTATTTTATCTTGTTATAGTAGGCTTAGTCCTATGGGCAATAGTATATCACAGAGGGAGGTCAAGAAGTCCGTAAAGTTAAAAATAGGATGCAGTAGAAATCTTGCAGAGGGCCATAAATTTTCAGAAATCATAGAATTTGAGCACTCTCAGACTATGTTGTCTCTTTACAAATTGGGAATTATTCTCTGACCACACAACTGGAATAAATGTATTTGTGTGTCTATCTATTTTTCCCTTTTGTTACATCTCATCTGTATTTGCATCTGTTCTTTATTTTTCCTTTACCCTCTAAAAAAATTGATTCTTGTTAAGGAACTACTATGTAAAAAGTGTTTCTGTTTGTTTTGCATACCAGAATCCTGAGATTTTGAGTTATGTCTCTAGGTTTAAGCAACTATCTATAAAAATAATAGAATGAATCATTACTAAATCTTAATTAAACTATGGAGGCATGGCTATGGAATGAGATCTGCATACATTTTACTTAGGTTTAATTATAAATGAAGCCTGGTCCTAACGTTAACATCCAATCCAACCCTTCCTTCAATGGGTGACATTCTTAAGTAAATTTGGCTAAAGCGATTGACTTTGGCTTCTTTAAGTTTGGATTCTTTTCTTTGACTTTTGTTTTCAGCACTGCTTTGCACTCTTGCTGAAGGGTAAGCTCTGTAAGGCAAGACTTGTGTCAATTTTGTTCACTTCTGAAATTTCTGTGCCAAGATGGTGCTAACTCTTATTGGTATGTTAACCATCCCTCTATCTCCTACGATGGTAGTCACTTACGCTTTTCTGTATAATTGTCACATATTTGTGTCTACAGTGCCTACAAATGAATAGGTATGTGTGTATGTGTACATATATATGTATGTACAGAGATAAATTTTTATATTTTTATATATATAAATACATATACATACAAACATACACCTGATATATATTTTTTTAACTAACATGTCCACATTGTGTTTATTTTAATTCTAAGATGGAAATTAGCCTGGTGTAATAAGGGAGTTTTTGATCTAAAATAATTCACACAACTTAGTGTCTGGTAATATTAGGCAAAATAATTAACCTCTTTGAGCCTAAATTTTCTCAGCTGTAAAACAGATGCCTATCTCACAGGTTTTTGTCAGATTTAAATATAATAATATACATGAAGTGCTTAGTATAATGTTTCACACCTAATGTATGATCAATAAATGCTATCACCCTGGGGGAGTTGGTCTTATTCTCTCATTGTTGAGATGTGTGGGACATGATAATTATAAGGTTATGAAATTACTTAGTGTATATAGACAATGTATGACCAGTTACTGACTATGAGATCTTGTCTGGATGACGAGGCCTAATCAGCCATAGCATAATCGAATTGCTTATTTTGGCTTTAACAATCAGTTCTGCACAATTAGTTACTATCAAACTATTCAAAATGAATGAAGTTCCTGCTAGTGAAAGATTACTATGCAAACTATGTCCTTACTATTTGAAATATTACAATGTGACTTAATGCATTTATAAATAAAGATTCCTTCCCTAATACCCACAGTTAAAATATTGGCTAAACATTATTTGTATCAAAGTAAGCAAGATGTCTATATATTAGTGTCAATACATTTGTTCCACTGGATTGTAGATTTTAAACATTATCCAAATGCTAATTTTAAGTTATTTTCTCAGGCATATAGGCCTACAAGGGTGTACAGCAAACAGTACTAGAATTATCTTTGTATAGTTACTCAAAATTCTCCCACACAATTGCTTCAAAATTCCAAAGAAATATTGGTGTCAAGTTTAAAATCCTCTGAAAATTTAATGAAAAAAAAAGATGCTGGAAAATCACAGTTACTCACTTGATACTTTATCAAGTTGCATTTGACATCTTCATGAGGTTCTAGGGAGGTTCTACAGAGAATACCTGGGTCCATCTCCAATGCTACCCAACTGCTGGAACTCAGTCGTGTCTCTTCCTGGAACCACTTCTGCCATTTTGATTACCTTCTTCGCCCCTGAGGCATCAGGGTTTGGGATTCTTTGCTTACTTTTAGAGAGAACAGAGTGACTTCAATAAGAAGTAAGGAAAAGCTATTCAAAAAGTGAGATTCTACAAAGCTAGGTGTGTGAGGAGAATTGGAAAGTCACCTAGGCAAGACAGATGTTGCCCTAGGTGAGCACCTGCATGCAAAGGATGAGTATAGAGGAATGAATGGCTCTTAGTGGCTATTAGGGAAGTTTCAATCTAGCAGCAGTCATGGGTTTCAGAGAGTCAACCCTGAAATCATTTAATTTTAAGTTATTTTCTCAGGCATATAGGGGTATCATTTCTTAATAAATCATGACTTGATAACTGGTTAAGGGTGAAATCCATAAACTGAGAAAGACCAACAGCCTATCTTCTTCCACCTACTCTGCATGTCTAGCCCATCTTTATGCCTTATTTCTATCACTTGTTTTAAAAATATTGCTGTCAGTTATACGATTGGTTTTATTTAACAAATACTTACATAGCACTTATTGTATGCTGAGCACTACTCTAAGAATTTTAAAAATATTAGCTCTGTGGTTCAAAACCAGGGGCAATGTCTGGAAATAATTTTGGTTGTCACAATTTGAGAGGAGGTGTTGCTACTCCATCTAATAGATAGAGGCTAGAGATGATGCTAAATATTCTGTAATGCACAGGACAGTCCACCTCTCCTCCAACCCAACCCCAACAAGGAATTATCTGGCTGAAAATACCAACAGTACCAGTGTTGAGAAACTCTGTATATTGACTCATTAATCTTCTTAACAACCCTATTAAGTAGATACTGTTATTATCCTCATTTTATAGATAAGGAAAGTGAGACACAGAGAGATTAACTAACTGGCTCAAGGTCACACAGTTGATAAGCGGCAAGGCTGATATTGAAGACCAAGCATCCTGTCTCCATAATCTGTGCTCTACCACCACACCAGGCTGCCTCTCTCTCTCATAGTTAAGTGCAGGTTATCTTTGCTACTTTGAAATCTCATCAGGAAAAGCCAGGCTTCATCTCATCCCATTTTCTGACTTTTAGACCAGACCCCAGACAATGCGGGCTTTGTTCTGGGTTGTCCATCCCTTACATGAACGTCTTGTTATTCTGTCATCATGAGAATGTCAGATGCAGGGAATTTACTCATCCCCTAAACTGGTCCCAGCTCACAATGCATCCTTAACCCTGCTCTGGGATATTCATTCTCTTTATCCTCTTCTTCAATACTTCTAGCCTTTTGGCTATTTTAAAGCTAATTTATGTATGCTTTGGAAGGCAGGTAATGAATAAAAAATTCAAATGAATCTGTTTTGTGACAAGTTAGCATCCCTGAAGAAGGTGTGAATACACAGTTTGGAAACTTACGAATAAAATTAAAATTAGCCCATTATTTGGGCATTCTTTATAATAAGACTTCTTAGGTTCTTACATTTCTTTTATAAATATATTATTTGACAGTTGCAAAAATTCATGTGAACTTGCATGATAAGTCAGCCTTACCCTCCCCAAAATAAAAGTAGGACTGGGTATTTATCTTATCTCTTTGCAGTACTGTGTGTACATTTACTGAGAAGACAGAGGATTTCCAAGCAATACAAGAATTCTGTCACATAAACGATCTGATGGGAAACATATCAAAGTGTAAGTTTCAAAAAAAGCTACTCTGAAGTTTGCAAAACACTTGGCGTCCATCAAGCAATGTGTAGGTGGACAGCTTTGCTCTCAGTAAATCAGAAACAAGGAGTAATAATTAGGCTTCATTTTACTTTCCTCCACAGTGCTGGATTGCTGGTTCTGTATGCGTGCTGGGAAACAATCACACTCTAACTGTAGCTGCCTAGGTCTTCTGATGCCATGTTACAGATGGCCTGTGACCTGGGAGCACCCAAAGCAACATGCTGAGACTGAATACAACTCCCTTTACTTCACAGTTCTCATTTCCAGGCAAGCATCATTACCAACTCTGGGTTTGAAGACAGAGGTGAGCGGAGAAGAGAGGAGGGGAAGGGGAACCAAGGAGAGGAAATGAGTCTTTCAGCATTTAGAAAAAAAAAAGAGAAGGAACCAGCAAAGAGAATGGTAGGACAAAAACTAGGATAGTGTTGTCCTTCAAAGGCCAGGGAAGAAATATACTAAAGTAGATAAAGCAAACACCTGCATCAAATACTGTGTGATAGATTAAGTTCAATAGGCTTGGAATTGATCATCAGATTTGGCAACACAAAGGCCATGGAAAACACTGAAGATGTGTCCTGGTGACCATTTCTGCTATGGAGAGGATATCTTGAAATAGGAGGAACTCAGGACAGAGACTGGGATTCCAAAGACCTTCTCATTCTCTCTCTCTTTGCCATCCTGCATCTGATATTAGCCCCCTGATCCTGGTGACAGAGGTGATTGCAATTTAGCAAGAGTTGTTTTAATGGAGTATTGGGGACAAACTAGATTGGGGTAAGCCCATGTGGGAAGGTGAGGAAGAGGAGGTACCAAGTATCAACATCTCTTCGGAGGATTTTTACTATAAAAGGAAGCAAACGGGTAAGAGCTAGAGGAACACATGGGGTGAAGGGAGGTTTGTTTTAGTTTATTTTGTGGCTTAGATTAGAGATAATGCAGCTTGTTAGTAAGCTGGTGGGGTTAACCTAGAAGAGATGAGAGAAAGTAAAGGAAGAGCAGGGGGAGAGAGGTATGAGAAATAGATAAGAGAGAAAAAGAGAGATGAAAGAGAGATGAGAGATAGATGAAGGACAGGTGATAAATGAAGGAAGGAGCAGAAGCCTTGAGAAGGTGAGAAGAAATGAAATTGGGTGCAGCATAGAGTGAGTAGCCTAGATATGAACAGGGACACAGGACAGTTCACCACTTTTCACCAGAGGTAAAAAGTGTACAGGGAAAAAGGCTTACCCACAGATGCAATTCTAACTAGTGCTACTGCCTGGTTTCCCAGCCATGGAGTTAGTTCTTCCCATGAATTACGTTGTTTCTGGCCACTTCAGGTAAACAACTCTCCCTGTTCATCCTGATCTCCTGACCCACTTCTCCTCAGATCATGGACCCTGTCACGAGGAGCAGGGCTGACATGAGATGCAGGATGGCGGAGAGTGAGAGGGAACTAGAAGGCCCTTTCTGCCCACAAAGCCCTAGACACTGTTCCTGAGTCCCTCTTTCATTCTTTGATATCTTCCCCATCACAAAAATGGTCCACAGGCCATGTCTTCAGTGTTTTACTGCTAATCTAAGCTGACAACACGGGAAAATGAATTTTGTTTTTGCTTTCCTTAGAGACTAGGGACTTTGGAGCCAGAGACTTTTGCTGTCTGTTCACATTTTGCTGCAGAGAAAGAAACCAAAAACATGGAATGTTGTTGTTGCCTTTCAAACATTGAAACTTGTACCTAGAGACATAAATCTTCAATTAAGTGTGGTCCATTACAAATGGCAGAATCACTGAGTCTTTCTAAATAGTGATTCTGAGACCAACATTCAAATTCTCCTTTGTGCTGTGTATCTTGGCAGAAGGACACAGGTGAGAAGCACCATGGGCCTCACAGTGAATAAGATGCCAGAATACCAGGACATGGATCTGCCGCTCAGTTGGCTAGCTGGAGAAATTCTGTCCTATCAAAACTTCCCTCCCAATATAATTATTATGTACCTTGCATCATTTGGAGTTGAAGGTCTCTATGCATTAGGTAGAAGTGGCATAAACAATTCCATTGTTTAATTTTGAAAATATACATACAGGGAAAGAGCTTTTCCCTCCTCAATAACCAAGCTCATCCTGTCTCAGAAACTGGTCTTCTAAATCCCAGTAAGGATCCCATGTGGTTTATGGTTGCATTGTTGAATTTATTTGGAAATTTAAAATGCCCCTTTGGATAGAAAGATTAACAAATACTTTGCCAAATACATTTTTAAAATTTCAATTTATTTTCAAAAAGTTAAATCACTTCTTGTTCCCAGGCAACATTGAATTGAGTTAAAGATACAGATGGTGCCAAATAAGAGAGGCTTTGAGATCCTACCATTGGATCTATTTCAACATATTTGATAAGAATTAAGAAAGTTGTTCTGCACTGAGGAGTCTGTGGGCCACTCTGATATCTGAGGAAGTCAGCATTAGCCTCACAGAATAAAAATCCAGTGTACTGAGCCTGTGCCATAAAGAGCTTCAAAAAACTCACAAGCTAAAATATCTAAAAGAAGTAACTAATTTTTTTAAAAGGTGGCTTGTAAATGGACAAGTAGAGAGAAGCAGAAATAACACAGTGGAAAGACCACTGGGCTAGGATCAGATGACCTATTCAGGTCCAGCTGCACAACTTCCAGCTGTATGACAGAAAATGATGCTCTCTCTGAGCCTCAGTGCCCTTACTTCTAAACTGGGAATAATGATATTGTGTCTGCCCACCATATCCTTGCATTTCTTCATTCATGCAACAAAGGTTTGTGTTCTATCCTGTGCTATTATCACGGTGGAACACAGTGGCCAACAGGTGACACTTTGGAGAGCCACACGTCCTGTTGCAAGACATTGGTCAAGTTACTCAGCCCTTTTACCTGCCTCTTAGGACTCTACTGTAAATCAACTCATTTAACTGAGTTGTAATGGTTAGAGTAGTGCCTGGTAAATAGTGAGCGTTGGGTGTTTTTTGCATCATCATTCCTGGCCCCCCGCTAGATACGAGTACTCATAGGGAATAAGACAGATTTGGCCCTTGCTCTTATGTAGTTTGTTGTAGAATTGCTGCATACACAGGAAACTTCATATGCTTGCTTTAAGGGTCAGGCAGGATAATAATTGAGGAAAAAAGCTTTATAAGTTAAATTCTTTACAAATACAAGGCATTATTATTACTTGAATTCTCCACACTCCAAAGGAAGAAAAATGACTTTAATGATGTGCATTAAACTAAATAATGCAGAATTTAATTAGTTTAAACTGTGGGATTCTGTATAAAAGACTTTTAGGTGGGCTGCAGCATGGCTTTTAAGAAATAATGAGTTCATTTTAGGGTACTAAATGAGTTCCTAGTGCCTTAAAGAATGAATGTGCCCCCCCTGAAGAGCCCTCCTCAGGACTAACTTGGCACTAGGGCAAAGAGAGCCCCTTGTTATCCAGACAGCCATTCGTCCTTCCCATAAACCACCTTGGGCTATGTATGAATGGCCTAGCATCTTGTCTGTTTTTAGTTCCACTTTACTTTTTAATAGGCTTAACCCTTTCAATGTTTAATTTCTTTAAAGAATTTGGGAGTTTTTTAGTGTCCTCTTTTATAGAAATTTAAATTACCTAGACTGGCACAAGACATTATTTTTTTAATATAAATTGATTCAAACATTGGTAGAGTGTATGTCAATTACTAGCCTGACAGCTGAACTCTTGGAGATCTGGACAATTTAAATATTAGTGTAGACTTTCAGTAGCATTTTATGAGTTATATCCAAGACAATCAAAAGGAAATGAATGCATTCCAAATAGCTGGCATTTGATAATCTGCACTTCCTGGAATGTCCAACAGAGATATTTGCAAGGAAAGGGGACATCTGCAATGTTTGACATAACATCTTGTCAGCCATGTGGCTGCTTCTGCATTTCTAGAAAAAGGTGAGTCTAATTTCATGAAAGTTCCTATCCACTTAGCTGTCTCTAGATGTAAATGGTTTTTGGATTCATGTGTGGCACTGGAATGAAGTAGCCATTTTTCTTTGAAATAAAATCTCCAGCACTTCAAGTATGGTTCATTTTCAGAAAAGGATGGGATTTAAGTTTCCTCCTGTTATCTTGAAAGGTGTGCTTGGCAGATGAGCACAGGTAAGCAGAAGTACCATGGCCCTCAGCACAGTGAACAAGATCCCAGAACACCAAGAAAAGGATCTGCTGCTCATCTGGTTGCCTGGAGAAATTTTATCCTATCAAAACTTTCTTCCAAATATGGTTACCATGGACCTTGCATCATTTAGAGTTGAAGGTCTGTGCATTAAGTAGAAGTGGCATAAACAATTCCATTGTTTAATTTTGAAAATATACATATTATATAATATACAAATATGTATATTTGGAAAGACATGTTAAACCAATAATATGACTTTGAAAGATTTCAAATACACAAGTAGTTTTAAAAGTAATATCAGCAAATACAAATTAATTATTGTCCATGTTTAATAGTCACAAGCTTTAGGGAACATTCATTGAGTTTTAAATTTCATATTCTCTAATGAGAGATAGGCAGTAATGGGATAAATCCCAAGAATCTGCAGATAGGATTAAATTGACAAGATGTAAAGTAGGCATAGTCACAAAGAACATATTCCAAAAAAGAAAAGCCAGTAATTATCTAGCAGCATCAAGCCTGTGATAGCTCATCTTTCTACAAAATGGTAAATCAATAATGTTTTCCCAAGATAAAATTTTAAGAATAAATTTGCAGCATCATGCTTTGGAGTCAGTTGGACCTGGTTCTGCTACTTACTAGTGCTTGATCTTGGGCAAATGATTTAAACAAGGTTCTGAGCTTTCTCTGATGATAGTGTATAGTAATGCCTTCCTTTCAGAACTGAGACAAGAATGTAATAATGTAATTTATGAAAAGTACTTAGTTCATAGTAAATACTTTACATATGATATATGTGTATTTATATGTGTGTGTATGTACATACATATTCCTCCCTTACATATATAGCAGTTGAGACCCTGACTCAGCTTTTCAACGGCAAAATCAGGTTTGAATCTAAGACAAGTCTTTCAAAGTTTCTCATACTTTATGTGACCTTCATAAAGGCCAGTAAGTCAGTAGAACTCTCAAATTCTCATTTCTGCAAATTATCAGGTTGCCCTAATTGACTATTTCTATACCTAGTTGAGTACTACAATGAAAACAAGCCAACAAAAATGTGAATTAGTATTTAAGTGAAATAAGCCACAAACCAGCATGACAGAAAACTGAGGAAGTCTTCAAGATGCTAAAACTGGAAGGAAACCAATTAACTTGGGAAGCAGGTTAAATATAAGTACAACAGACAACCTGCTGGGTTTTTATTTAATATTGATGAGTAAAAAAAAATGTCTAATCCATTCACAGTATAAACTAAACCTTGCAATAGATAGCAACATATTAGCATATCCAAAACTTAGATGTGTCACTCTAGGTTTTACTTACCTTTCACCTATCTTTTGCTTTAGCTTATGTATTTTGCTAGGCAATAATAATGATAATTCTTGAAATTCTTCCAAGCCTTATTTGAAACTAGCAGTATCTACTAAACGCCAAATCCCTTATGAATGGATAGCAATGCAAAAGTAGTGCCACTAGTAATAACACATACACACACTCTCTTCTAGTCTATGTAGGAGATATAAATAATTATGAGATGCAATCTTTGATTTAAAGATGTTTACAATATAGTTTGCGAAAATGTTATTTAGCATTAGATTACTTTATGAATGGCAGAAAACTAAGAAAAAGTAGTAGCTTAAAAAAGTATATCTATTTCCTAGTGTTGCTGCACAAAATTATCACAAAGCTGGTGACTTTAAATAACAGAAATGTGTTCTCTCACGGTCCTGAAGGTCAGAAATTTAAATACAAGGTGTTGGCAGGCCCAGGCTCCCTTTAGAGACTCTGAGGGAGAGGTCTTCCTTACCTCTTGCAACTTCTGGTGGCTTCCGTCATTCCACGTGGCTGTATTACCCAAATCTCTGCTCCCTGTGCACCTTTCCATCTCCTCTGTGTGTTTGCGTCCCTTCCTCTATTTTCTGTGTGACTCTCCTTGTAAGACTCCTATAAAAATACTTGTTATTGGATTTAGGGCTCACCTGGAAAATTCAGGATGATCTCATCTTGAGATCCTTAACTTAATTATATTTGCAAAGGTTTCCCACCCACTCCCACCCCAATAAGGTTATATCCACAGGTCCCAGGAATTAAGATGTGGAAACATATTTTTGAGGCCACAGTTCAACCCACTACAACAATGTGGAGTTTATTTCTCTCTAATAAAACCCAGGCAAACAGTCAAATGCTGATATAATCCTCCGTACTGTGTCAGCAACCCAGATTCCTACTGTCTGGTTTTCCTGCTAAAAGCAATTTTCTTTCTGAAGACCCACCATGTAATCCATGATGGTTTCTCCAGCCACCACATCTGATTTTGAGACAGTAGAAAGAGAAATAGAGTAGAAGAAAGCCAAGAATAAAAACTGAAGCCAAAAATGGTATGGCTTTTTTTGGACTTGCATATATACATTTATATTTATATCTCTCTGTAAGAATAGTCAAGTGGCCACTCTGAGCTACAAGAGAAGGTGGGAGAGGCTCTTATTCTAGGAACTCATGTGCTCAGTTAAAATTCGAGGCTTTTATCAAATGTTGGAGGCTAATTGGCAGTCTCTTGTGCAGAGAATCTAGCAGTGATGATTGGCTAGCTAACCTGGCCCTTTCCTAGTCTTTTGGTCCTTTGATCTAAGAGCTCATCTCACAATCCGAGTTGCCCTTGCTACCCAGAATGGTCACAGGTCCAGTTTTGGCCAATGAAACTTGGGTAGAAATTGCTCAGGGCTTCTGGGGATAATGAGCATTCCTGATGAAACAGCAGACTCGGCTTGTGCTTGACATTCATGTAGCCATCTTGTTATCATGAAAGAGTTTTCCAAATGAAATGTAGAGCTGCCCATGTTGTCCTAGACTCCTTATTGGGTATGAAACATAAACTCCATATTTTAGGCCTTGGTAAGTTTAACTAGCTTTCCTGTTACTTGCAGCAAGCACATTCTTAAACAATATCAGGCCATGAGATACATGCACATATTAAAGGATATTAAGCCATGTAAAGCAACGTATCATAGGGCACTGTGACAGAGCCCAGAAGAGGGGAACCCTCTATTGCTCACATGGTTCAGAAGGAGCTGATTCCTAAACACCAGGATTGATGAATTTGGCAATGTGGGAAAAGTGGACTTCTGGATGACATTAAGACTTAATTGACTTTTCATGACCATAACTTCCAACAACTTGGATTGTTCTAGTCACTTGTTACCTGCAACCACTTAGATTGCCACATTAAGGGGAAAAAAATCATCCTAAGAAGAATCGTATGCTGTACCACTCACCTCAGGTTTAATAGTGCTGATGAAAATTACCTTGGAAAGGACTAGAAAAAAAACTAAGACCTAAGAGAGAAAGGTGCTATTTGGGGGAAGGCAGGCGGGGAAGAAAAGTAGATATGGAATGTAAGAGGAAAGAGGAGAGGATCAAAGTTTTGAGGGAAACAGAAAAGAGTTTGGAAAGGCTGCTCTTGTTTAAAAAAATCTTCTCCACCCATGCTGGTGCCACTTTCTTGCCGCTTCAAGAGAGTTCAAAACAGATTTATAACAGTATTGAAGGCTTCTGGAGTAACATCTGAATTTCTTTTGAATTATATACAATGTAGACAGCAAGATAAATAAATAAAATAAATAAATAAAATAGATTTATTTAAGCAAGGCATATGGGGAAATATTTGCACCTCTAAGGTTGAAAAGACAGCAAAACTCAGCAAACTCTACATAGTATAAATTCAATTATGATCACACAAGATCATCTTGAACTACATAAGTACTTTTACTCAAAGCAGAAACACTTGAGAAGCTGGGCACTGAGCTAACCATAGAATCATTCACCCCTTTAAAAAAAAACACACAAAAAAAAATGCATAAGACACAGAAAACAAATATGGCCTGATATATGGGTTGTTTGCACATTCGTTTCAATAGAATTCTACTTTTATTGCTTTTTAAAAATAGTGTGCACAGCATGAAAATAACCATCATGAGCATGTCTCCATAAATCATTTTTCCCTGTGCTGAAGGAGCACAATTTCCCTACCTGAGGAGCAGTCAGTTGGTGTTTACTTGCTACACTGTGCCATCTGGTGGCAAGTGCTAAAAATTGCAGACACAAGGTCCCTGGGTTCCAGAGAGACTCTCAGGCCGTATACCTAGAGGTGTCAACCCAATGCAAAAGAAATAAATACAATGACTCTCTTTAAAGACATGGGTTGAAGCCAAAGATCAAGTTATTTGTTAGTTATTCTCATTGGTATTCCTAATATATATAATATCTTCCCAGTAAAAATTACTTTATGAACAAATTGATTCTTAATAGCAATAATTTTCAGTTTGCACAATACTGCAGTTTTCAAATCCCCATTCATATTCACTAATGCACAAGATGAGCAGGAATATTGCACCTTTCTCACAAATGGAAACTGAGGTTCAGGTGGGTTAAAGAAATTGCTCAAGTTTGCAAAGCTTATATTAGAAAAAACAAGCAACTACTGAAGCACAAATAAAGACTTTCTCTGTTTCCAGTCTAGATGTTTCCTTTATAACGATCCTGTCTCTCCATGCTTAGCGTGGGATGAAGCAGTTTTAGTTGAAGCTAGGTTGAAGCTTTAGGTGTAGCTGGAAATAGTTTTTTAAGTTAGGTGCTATTTTGGTAAAGTAGTAGTTGCAAGCTTCCCCAAAGGAGTCTGAAAGAAGATTCAGCAGACCTTGGTGACAAGAGTTGTGCATCCTAAAGTTTAATATACGACTTCTTTTGCTTGTTTGTTTTTCCTTCAGGCCTTGTATTTACATATATGCAATACCATCTCTTTGTCTTTGTGTTTTATTCTCCTGCCCTGTCTTGCAATTTATTCTTTGTTAGCCTGCTTTTCATCAGAAGAACCACCTACTTTTCAGTAGCTTTCTTTTTTTCAGGTGGCCTCTCACTCCCTCCCGGTAGATGTATTCCTTTCAGGGTTAATCAAAGGATGATATTTAAGTTGTCATCTCTGCTTGGGCATCTAGATGGCTTGTGCCATTCATATCAATGAGACCTTTTCAACCCTAATATCTGTTTCAGTGATCTATGGAGTGCAGCCTTGAAACTTAATTATGGTGATGTTTCAGAGGCTCATGGACAGATTTAAGCATCCTGCTTTCACATCATTAGACAGTCCCAAGTTCCAGTGCTCTAAAAGATTGAAGACCAGTCTACTGTATGTCTTACCTTCATTATGATCTGTAGGAACAAGCCTACATTTCTCAGACTCTGTTAGAAGGTTTTTTATCTTTTGGCTGTGATATTTCACTTCGTATAAGACAATTGAAATGTAAAGCCTTTGTGAAAAATGCCTACGTAAGCCAATGAATATCATCCCAAATATCAGTAAGTAGTTTGATCATTGCTATATAGTTTTGTACATTCTTAGACTTGGGCAATGAGTCCTGAAGCCACTCCAGGGCCAAAAAGGGGGCTTATTAACCTCATATTCATCTAAAATAATCTTCTGGGAAAACACGATAAATATGCATTTTATGACATGTCATCATTATTGGTTCATCAAAACTATTTAAATATATGCAGATTTCAAAATTTATCTACAATTGCGTAACATCGTCTTCCCAATAGTTATCAGAACACTGAAAATTCCAAATTTTTATTTTGCTTTATTCCATTTATCAGCAGCAGCAATAAAGATTTTGGAATAGAACTTGGGTAGCAATTTGGGGATGATGTATTAGCCCTTCCTCAGCTACAGTTGCTCTAGAGGACTGATTAATATAAATGTCAGCTTATTTGTAAACTAGGAATATGTAACACAGAAAAGAACTGATAGTGCCATTTCCAGAGCCTCCTTTCAAGCCTAAATGAACTGTAGTTGGGTAAGGGCCACAGTCGATAAACACTCGAAGTAATATTGCCTAAAGTGACAAAAAATACAGTGGCATCAATCTCCTTTCAAGGCCAAGAAGCTGCTTATTCAGTTTCAAGAGCTTAGCATATAAATACAGTTTACAAGTAATTTTAAAATGATCACGAAATCCTGTGTATATTTGACTGTTAAATCAAAAGGAAGCCTGTGGTGTTGCTCAAGCCCAATAATCACTTTTTAATATTCCTGGGGAGGCAGCAGCATGATGAAAAGGATAAGGAAGGTATAAATCAACTGAAGGAATTCAGAGTGAAAGACCTTCATTTTTTAAAGGCAGAGATTAAAATCACCAAGCTAATAAGATCTGCTCAGGGACCTAGAAATGTCAGCCAAAAATGTAGAAAATGTATACTCCAAGAGTGAGCTTTACTTGAGTTGGTTTATATATAATAGTTTTCTGCTGAAAACAGACGATTAAACGTGCTGTTTAACTTAAAGGTAGTGTTTAGTTAGAATGTTATATACAGGGTATCTTATTCATATATTAATAGTCGTATCTAATAGAAAAATAAATAAACATTACAAATAGATTTTGCATTCATTTCCTAGCTCTTTCCTTACATCTGGCATTCATCGCTTTGCTCCCGATAATACTGCTTTGCAAACACCTTTCCCTGATCCAAGGTCCTCAGCGGTCCTCTTTGTGTGTGGGGGAGCCCCTCTTCCTAACTATTTAAAATATTGATATTATCTACTGATTTGGCAGTCATTCCTAATAGATTGGAGGTGTCTTAAGGAACAAAATAATATCTTAGTAACTTTTATATATCTCCATGGCCTAGGAAAGTTCTTGAGAAATGGCAAGTGCTCAACACAAAATTGTTGATTTTTATGTAATTCTCTTCCTATATCTCAACATAAACACATTTCCCACCAGCTGATCAACTTACTGATCCCCAGACACAGAACATCCTCACCTCTTTACTTTTTACATTTTTTCCTTTCTTGGTAGATACAGTCTATGAAACATTGTTTCCCAGAAAACATGGATTTTTCCCTTCCTGCAGTATTTAGTATTTCCTCCAGTTTTCCTAGCTAGCTCTTATTACTACATACTGTCTTAAGTCATTACTTATCTTTTAAATTCACAACCAAAATCCCTAAACAAGGTTAAGAAAAAACTCATATTTTTGATTTCGTTATATCGCAGTTACCCAGAGCACCAGCACACTCGGGCGCTTGGTAAATCTGTGTTTAAAGAAGGCAGGTTCAATGATAGTCTAATGGTAAGATAGCATCATAAAAATAAAGCCCAGCACCTGACAACACAACTAGAAACTATGAATAGCATTTTGATAAATTATGTAAAGCTCAGGCTGAAAACATGCAATGCACAATGATTTGATGAAATTCACTTTTAAAGGTAACTGGAATCATTACAGTGAAAATGTTACATAGAAAATTCTACTCATTAGTCACAGTGTAGGAAAAGAAAATGCTGCTTTCCCTATGAAGATTGTCCTCATCCATTCCCTTCCCTTCCCCAGCCAAACTAGAAGTAGCCTTCTAAGATAAATAACCAAAACTTAGAATTTGTTTCTCAAGCACTTGTTTTTTTCTCAACCATGCTTTGGATACTTCCATTTTCAGCTTGGAATATACTTAACATAATTTTATCTGTCCCCTTCTAAGCCGTAAGGTATTTAAGGAGTCAAGTTTAATTTATTTTTTAAATCCTCCCAACACTTAGAGCAGAGCTTACAAACAGAAGGGACTCAATGCATGCATGCATACATAAATGAATAAGGGTCTATGTCAGGCCAGGTGGAGTGGCTCATGCCTGTAATCCCAGCACTTTGGGAGGCCGAAGTGGGCGGATCACTTGAGGTCAAGAGTTCAAGACCAGCCTGGTCAACATGGTGAAACCCTGTCTCTACTAAAAATACAAAAATTAGCCAGGCATGGTGCCACGCAACTGTAATCCTAGGTACTGGGGATGCTGAGGCAGGCAAATTGTTTGAATCCAGGAGGTGGAGGTTGCAGTGAGCCAAGATCATGCCACTGCACTCCAGCCTGGGCGACAAGGCAAGACTCTATCTGAAAAAAAAAAAAAAAAAAAAAGAGCCTATGTCATTAATAAGGGGCATTCAAGTTAAAATGTCTGTGTCTGGAGACTAACAACTGATCTTAATCCTAAGCAGCACGTTTTAAAATTATACTGTTTGTGGCTAAAATACCTCTTAATTGGATATTACATTTAATATTGCTAGTGTTGACTTTGTGTGCATGTGTGAAAAACAATTATTACTCAATGGCACACCTTAGAATAAATGGCATCTTTGATTTGAGGAATGAGTATATAGGTCCAAACCTCGAACTTAAGGATCAGATATTGGATTTCTCTGTGCCCCCAAGAGAGTACATGGTTGAGGGTAAGAAGAGAAACTTTCCATCTTTTCAGAGAGGTACAGAGTCTTTGTTTCTATGTCATTCCTGGAATGAAACTAGTAAGTCTTATCTATGACTGGAATACATCGTAGCTAATATTGACTTCTGAAGAACTAGGAATTGTTTTAAAGGGAGCCAGCCACCTGTTCACTGCTTTTCCTGCATTCCTTTGTTCTTAAATGTGAATCTGCTAACCTCACATGTCCCTATGATCACTGGGATTCATAGTCATCTTTAAATATAGCTGCCTTTCCCTTCTGTCTTCATTCATATTTTGCCCGAACCTTCTCATTCATGAGAAACTCTAGTTACTTTAGAGATGTAAAATCTTGGGTCTATGGCCAAATAGCAGCTGGCCAGTTTTGAAGTGAAATTCTTGGTAACAAACAGGTCGAGAAAGAACAAAAAACATGCATCACTAGTGCACCTAGAATTCTACCTAGAAACACATTCTTCAGCACTAAACATGCTGACAGCACAGTGTGAACATGACCTTAATCACAAAGGACAGCAGGCTAAGCTACCCACATTGCAGGATAGGAAATAAGAATAAGAACCGTCTCTGATCCCCTGCCACCTAGTTTGAGATTATCCATAGAAACTATAAAAGTGAAGAGAGGAGAGAAATCACATACTGCATTAGTTTTGGATAATGGCCAGACAACTCCTTAAGTATATATATATACTTCCCTTTCCCAATAAGACCACCTATTTTCCATTTTTCTTAACACATGACTAAGCTAACTATATATATATATATATATATATATATATATATATATATATATATATATATATACACACACACACACACACATATGTGTGTATATATATATTTGTGTGTGTGTATACATATGTACATATATATTCATTCAATCCCTGGTAAGACAAAAAGATTCTTATTTCTCAGGAATAACATGGAAATTTCTATTGTTTATATTCCCGTTTTCTTAGCCCAGCAGTCTAACAGCTACATGGCCATGTATATGCATCTGGGTAGGGATGAGTAGGCAAATGATAAAATATGCATTAAATCACATTGTATTTTGATGTTTGATTATTGCTTTGAGAGACTGTCATTTTCCATGTGATTTTAAAGAGTTAATATTTTTCTAGCTTAATTTTATTTTACATCCCCAAAATCAGATTGCTCCCAGAAAAATACCACTTAAATGGGAAAAATAAAAGGAAGCAAGAAAGAGATTGACAAAAAAGTAGGCTTGAATACATAATGAATGCTTTGCCACTCATTGATAGACAACGCTTAAAACAAAGCATTGTTGTGTGAAATGTTCTAGAGAAAAGAACTGAAGAGTTTATCAAATGAGTTATTGGAAAAGATTTTTTTCTAAATCTGCCAGAAATGTACCAGGCCATTATTGCATCTTATAAATTATTTATTATTCTTAGATATGTCATAAAGTCCAACACAAATAAAGAAAAAATGCTGACAAGACAGAAACATCATTGTGAATATAGAGGTTGCTTCCTGAAGACTTGCAGAAAAGTTCCAAGAATCTTTGCACCTTGTCCACCACATTTTTCACTACTTACATATTTTGTTTCTTTGTATTTGAAAATATCACCACTTCCCTTTCCCAATAAGACCACCCATTTTCCATTTTTCTTAACACATGACTAAGCTAACAGAATGTAAACCTTGTGTGTGTGCAAGAGGGAGAATTAATCATGAAAAATTAAGTAAAATATAATAGAGAAGAGAAATCCAATTTTTGAAACATCTATTAATATGATTGCCTAGTTTATATGCATCTCTGCCAGATTTTGCTATTGCCCATGACTGCCTTAGCTATTCCGGAGCTGTACTTAATAAAACAGTGAAATCTCCCTAATCTTTCATTCTTATGAAGCAGGCTAATGAAATACCATAGAAATAGTTTCATTTTACACTGGGAAGACATTAAATATCTAACTGTAAAATATTTTCTTTCTTATTCACTTTTAAGGGGCTTATGAGAATGAGTATGGTTTTAAGTAAAAGCAGAAATTTCAAAGTTTCCTAGTCACATGAAGACACACCATCTTTTATCTCTTGCTTTATTCTTTGCTCATTACTTACTTTAGAGTCTGAAAGAACATTTTTCTCCCTCATGGCCTTTCCAGTGAATGAATAGAACTAGGTCCAAAATTTTCATGGGACAGACACACTGCTTTGTACATCTTAAAACGCCCCACAGCACTTCAAAAAATGCTTTACAGGCCTCAAGAATTCCATAAATACTCCTTGATTTTAGTGAGTTGTGTGTGGAGTCAGGTGCAGAGATTCTTTCACCTTCTATTACTGGTGCTTAGAAAACTCCAGTGCACTGAATACCATACCACTTTATCAGCCCTCATTCTCTAGGACTGGTTTATGAGAGGTCATAGCTCTATTATTTTGTACCTAAGAAATAATATCATGTATTTTAGCTATCTGCCATTTAAATCCTGTTCATAAACACACAACAAAACTAAGAAGACAACCTGCCTACTGCCAATCCTCAGTCAGGTGGCTCAAAATTGTCCTGTTTTCATCTTTATCTTATATCTAACTAAATACACTTTGGATATATATTTTCTTCTTTGGATACATATGTTACACATTTTCTTCTTTGGATACATATGAGAAACGTTCTCATGTACTATGTAAAGCGTTTCCCTGGCCATATTCAGATGAGGGAAACTAAACTATAGATGGTTTAAAATACTAACTACGTAGAAAATTTGAGGCATTGTAGTGGGAACTGTAGTGGGGCTTGAGATACAGTGAGGAAGGCTGTAGAGCTGCATTTGTTGTGAAAGATGTAGCAAATGGGGAACTACTTCAATTTTATACATTTCATTTCACCACATTCTGGATCTTAGAATGACGTTAACACAAGTATTTCTGTGAGGCAGCAGAGAGTATTGGGCTGGTGGTGATGAAGCCTTCTTACTCACAGGCCGGGAGACTCGGTAAGCATTTCCCCTCCCAACTGCAGCTTCTCCTATTATAAAGTGAGGACATTGGACTGAGTGTTTTAATGTTTTATCAGCTCTTGTGTCTTACGAAGTCCATCTTTGATTCTTCCTGTCTTCCAGTACCCCATTACTGATCATCCCACAAGGACTCCTGAGTTTTCCTTTATAATGTCTCCCCTACTTTTAAGGCCACTGTCTTGGTTCAGACTCTTCTCCACACAAAGGCTTCCTAAGTGTTTTCACAACTTTTGTCTTTATGGCTAATTCATCCTGTACATTTAGCCTCCTCAAACCATGACTTGATTGCATCCTCTCCAGCTCCTGCATCTTCAGAGATGATTATCAGAGAAGGGAATTCATCTTCCTCAGCCCAGTCCCTCCTTAGCCAGAGCTGCATCAGTCTTTTACTTGCTCTTCATTGGGAAATTAACTTATAGCTGGCTTTCCATCCCTTCTGTCTAAACAGTGGATACACATCTTTCTCTTTTTTGTAATTCCAAACATAACCCTTGTTGGTGCAATTTTAGGACCACTTCCTTTCCCAGTTTCCTCGAATGCACAGTGGCCTCCTTCCTTTTTAAATCTCTAATAGTGTTAAATCTCTTTTCTGCTTACATGTTCCTTGCTGTATATTTCCTCGTAATTATCTGGCGATATTATCTGCCAGTTATAACGTATGTGGCCTTGGGAAAATGACACAATCTCTCAAGTCCTCAGATGCTCTGTCTGTTAAATATGAATAACACATATATGTACCCACAGGTGGTTTTGAATTCCCTCACATAATGCATATACAAAGCACTTAGCGCAATGATCAGTTCCAAATGATGACTACTATTACCTGAAAAAAGGTATATTGTCCTTTTTCATTATTAGTTGACTCTTAAATTATAACAGGGCATTAAGGCAAGGAAAAGTAAAGTAATGTAGATTTCTGAGTAGAATGTCTTGCATATACAAACATATGAGTGTTCCTCAAATAACCATGGACATAACCAAGAGTACGTGAGAACGGGGAGTGAGAAATCTGTAAGAGAAAAATGTCTGAGGAAGATACCCTCCTCACGGTGGAATTTTCGAGGATTTCCCAAGAGCAATAATGACAGTGAAACCATGCTGAGAAGGGACACTCAGGGGCAAGTTGCCATTCATTTCTATGTGAGACAGGGGTGGCCTCGTGGGATCCAGGAAGAAGAACTCAAGATATTATAAAGACCATCTCATTTGGAGAGCAGAAGATTGGAGGTGAAGGCGAGCTTCAGAGCAGAAGGTGTTTCCTTTGGCAGTTGTGGACTGAAGATATCAAGGCTATGCCCGGGGTGTTTAAAAACAGCAGACAACTTATGGGGGCTTTTCCTCCAAGAAGCAGGTCTGTTCTTGAAAAGACAGTGAGTGTGTGATGACACTCCTCTCTCAGGCCCCACTGGCGCCATTACTACTAGGAAAAGACAGTTTTCCTCTTTTGGAGATCGCCTATTATCTACACAAGGAATGATTCCTAGTGCCATTGACCACTAATAAAAGACAGTTTTGCTCTTTTGGAGATTGCCTATTATTTACACAAAGAAAAGTAAATGGCCACTGAGCTGGGACTTAAACTCAGCCCTGTTGGGCTCCAAAATGTTAAAATATAGATTTAAAGAATAAGAAAATAATAATATAACTGGCTGAGGGTAGACATTGAATCAATTTTTAAAGGTTTAAAAATTGTTATATATATGGTTGTAAAAATGACAATGTTAATTTTTGGAAAATAAGATATGTGACATTGTGAGAATTTTAAAAACCAGAATTATAATCTTAGATTACATGAAAATAAAACCAAGATTTGAGTGAGAAAGTAAAGTATGGTAATGTTTTCATTTTGCATCATAAGGGTTATCACAAAAATGATTTTGTTCTTGATATTGATGAAGCACTTAAAAATTAAATACCCTTCTAAATAAATTGTGGGTTATTAAATATACCAAACTGAATTTATCAAATATATAAAGAATGATAATGACGATACTATATATTAAAATCTATGGAACCTGGTCAAAGCTGCAATTAAAAGCAAATTTACACCATGAAATACTATGACTAAAATGAGGAATGAAGATTTGCAACAAATGAATTAACAAATAGTTCAAAAGAAAAAAGACGTAGGGGTTAAGATATACACAGAAGTGAATGAATATAGGCAAAATATGGCAGAAATCTATAAACAAAAGAAACTTTTCATTGTGTCATTCAAAGCCATTTCTATAGATGTTAATAAAATATGGGATTATGTTTGAGATCACTTGATTTAAAATATTGAATATGTGGACCCCTTGAAATTAATTTTAGAGGTTCTATGGAGCAATGCAAATAAAAACATTTTCACATTTCAATACAGTTAAAATTGAGGATGAGTTCTCACCTAATCCTGAGGACAAATGAGATAGTCTGCTGTCAAATAAAGGCTACGAACTTCACTTTGGGAGCCCATCAGGATAACTAAAAGAAAAGTTCATAATTGTACAAAGCAACTGGAGCTGAGGCATAATGAGTGATGCATAGACTTCAAGACAGGAGAAATATGCCATTTGTGTTAAGATATAATAGACATATAAAGAAATAGGCCATTTCAATGTAAGTATAAAATAACAAATCATAAAGACAGGATCAAGAACTATAAGGAGTCTGAGATTTTTATCCTACCTTCAAACTAGCAAGTTAGCCTATCAGAGTTCCATGGATGATGGCAGAAGATGCAAGACCCAAAGGACTTTATGAGTTCCATGTTTGCATCAGTTCCCATTGCACTCCAAGTCCTACTGGGGAGATGTAGAGTGGGCCAGATGGATGCTGTGCACACAGTGGATTTACTTCACAGCTGAAGAACACTGAGCCAAACCCAAATCTTTTATAATGGGCTGCCATGAAACCTGCCTGACTTTGGTTCTAAAGGGAGATATTCTTTATTTTGCTACACAATAAACAAATCTCACCGCTGTTTCAGAGGGAGACATTATCTCTATTTTTCAAAGCTGTTTGCTGTATAAACATTCTTGAAAAGATGGTCCTGAACAAAGGTTCCCTGTACCTATGCTAAAAAGATGTACAGAAATGAGAAAGACCTATAGAGAATTGGCTTTGAACACTGACAGATGCTCTAAATTACATATACTGATTGGTAATTGCTCGGCAACTTATCTGTACAACTCAGTGTGACATGTTTCAGGGTAAACAGAAGCCAAGATTTATTTAAGAAATAGTTCATGATTCTTTAAGCAACTCTGCCAGTGGTATATAAATCCAAGGGTTAATTATTTGAATTTTTTTAAAGGAATAAAATAATCTAAGCTAAACACTAGCTGGATGGCCTGAATGAAAAGTGAAAAACACAGAAAATTGGAAAGCATGGAAGGTATGCAAGGAGGTCTTCATAAAGTTTGTGGAAAATTGAATTAAAAGATAAAAATTAAAAACATATACTATTTTTCAACACAAACTCCATCAAGATCAAGACACTTTTATAGGCAATGATACCACCCACTTAGTCTGTCTCTAAATAACTGATGTCCTAGGAATTTAGTCATATCAATGTATTCTATTTTACATTACTAATTGAAGAAAAAATGGGTGCCCTTTGAAGATGTTTTTAAGATTAGGAAACAAAAAGAGGTCAGAACAAGCCAAATCAGGAATATAATGTGAATGCCTAATGATTTCCCATCAAAACTCTTGCAAAATTGTCCTCATTTAATGAGAGGAATGAGCAGGAGTATTGTCACAGTGCAGAAAGACACTGGTGAAACTTCCCCGGGCATTTTCTGCTAAAGGTTTGGCAAACTTTCTCAAAACACTCTCATAATAAGCAAATGTTATCATTCTTTGGCCCTCCAGAAAGTCAACAAGCAAAATGCCTTGAGCAACCCAAAAAACTGTTGCCGTGAGCTTTGCTCATGACCAGTTCACTTTTGCTATGACTGGACCATTTACACCTCTTGGTAGCCATTGCTTTGATTGTGCTTTTTTTCCAGGATTGTACCAGTAAAGCCATGTTTCATCTTCTGTTACTGTTTTTCAAAGAAACGCTTCAGGTTCCTGATATCGTTTGTTTATAATTTCCATGGAAAGCTCTACTTTTGTCTGCAGTTGCTCTGGGTGCAATGGTTTTTGGCATCCATCTAGTGAAAAATTTGCTCAACTTTAATTTTTCAGTCAGGATTGTGTAAACTGAACCAATTAATATGTTTATGGTGTTGGCTATTGTTTCCCTTGTTCAATGTCAGTCATTTTCAAATAGGGCACAAGTAAGATTAATGTTTTCCTCACAAATTGACGTGAAAGGTGTGCTGTTAAAAGACAGATAACCACAGATAAAAAGATCACAAAAAGATTATGAAAAATTATACATATAATTAAATGATAATGTTGATACAATGTGTAATTTTCTCAGAAGACATAATTTATTTAATTTTTTGGCATTTAACTCTTTAATCCACCTGGAATAAACTTTATTATATAATAAGATGAAGCATTTAATTTCTTAAAAGCATGAGTATAGCAAATATCCCAACATCATTGATTATATAATTTATCATTAATCTACTTATTTGAAGAGTAAACCATAAAAAAAGAAAATAGCAAACAATAGAGATAGTAAAACATAAATGGTCAATAGATCTGAATTGTAGTTTTCTTACTGTCTATCCTACCATATGAGATGATGTATGGTAGCACTTAAGAGTTCAGAACCAGGCGCCTAACTTCCTAGATAAGAAATTTGGCCTGCCTCTAAGTAGTTGAATGACTTAGGGCATATTCTCTTACCTCTTAACCTTTCTGTACCTCCAGTTTCATCCAATGTAAAATAATAATAATTGTACATACCCTTAAAGAATGAAAACAGTGCCTGATGCAAAATGCTCAAAGTAGTAACTATTATTATTTTTTACTATATTTATAGAGCACAGTGAAACACAGCAAATAAATCTAGATGGCAAAAGAAAAAAAAGTTTGTAACATATCTGAGAGGCAGAGTATATAGCTTTAATTTGTGAAGAATGTACAAATCTTTAAGAGAAAATCAAAGACACTGACAGAAAAATTGCTAAGCAACATAAGCATCTAATAAGCACACATGAACATACAGTGGAAAAGAAAGCATTTAAATATTTCATGTCACTGACACTAAAAATGAAAATGGAAACAACCATATTTTTATCCTATCAGATTGCAAAGATTAAAATATGTAAAAAATATAAGCACTCTAATATACTACTAGAAGAAGAATATATATACTTCCATGTCTATCAACTTCCTGGAGGAAATGTGTCAGTATAGATCAAATCCTTAAACCTTTTAAGAAGAAACCCTATAACTTTAAAAGTATTGCAATGATAAAATCTAATGTCTATAATGTTGTTTCCACATCATCATAGTGTTATTTATAACAGCAAAACATTAACAATGACCTAAGTGCCCAACAGTAGAGCAACAATTATGAACATTGTGGCACATCTACAGAATACTTTGTGCAAGGCTGGAACTGAGATGAGGCAAGAGAGATGCTCAGGTCACAAAATGTAAGGACTCACTCTCATCATTGTCCAAATGCTAATACTGTAGAGGGTGAGCGCTGCCTTAAATGTTGCTACCGAGATACTTATTTTGCCTCACCCTTGCCCAGATCCTAAATATGGGGCTATTTAAAACAACATTATAAAATATTATCTAATGATTGAAGCTCATATTTTTATATACTTCTAATGCAAAGATCCAGGCTAGGTGTATATACAGAAATATATTATTTGCCGCAATCTAACTTTTCTCCTATTTGTTATTTCACATTTAATTTCTTGCTATAACTTTTTACTCTGCTGAATAGTGTTATGATGACCCTCTTTGTATATAATTCTTTCTGTATATTGTAGGTTATTTTATTTTTGTTTGTTTCTTAGAATTGGAATTATTGGTCAAAGACTATGAACATTTTTCAGAACTTAGATAAAAGTTGATGATAGCTTTTCAGAGAGACTCTGAATTTTTACACCCTCAAGTGGGCAATTTAATTCTTGAAGGCCTCCAGACCATGTGTCACCTCTTCTATGGAAGCTCAAATGCATAATAAATTGGGGTTATTTCCTCAAATCATCAATTCTATTGAACCTTCCATGAGGGCAAGAACTTGGCTATGTACATTTTTGTTTTCCATGATGTGCTTCGCATGTTCAGAACATGTTAGAAGCTTCCTAGGAGCTAGCTGATAAATAATACCTCAAGTATAATTTTCTATCATAGTTTTATAGACTGTTTAAACCTATGAGTTTTTTTTTTAATCTTCTGGTAGCAGCAATATGAATGGAGGCTGGCCAGAAGTCAAGGGAAGACAAAGGATCCAGCTGGCTTCAGCAGCTCCTGTAATGCAGCACAAGTCACAGTGTGGAAAATGCAGAGAAATGGTAAATTACTGTAGAAAGACAGACTGCCAGGCTACCTTGATTGCCACTGCACTGGGATTACATACAAACTTTATTGCACAGGTCATATCGATAATTTACTAAATTGAAATTTGAGCAACAAAAGATTAAAAACCACTTAAAAAATAGAAAGAAAATAATTCTGACTCTTACTTACACTGTCAAATATATTAGAAAAAGAGGCAGTGCTCTGAAATGTTTTCACGAGAACAGCCTCAATGTCCAAGTAGCCATGTTTTTACTCTCAGGCCATATCTAAATTGACCTCAAGATACTCTACTAAAATATTATCTAATTTTTAGATAGTTTAGATAACATAGACAGTTACTGTGGTCTTCCTGTCAGGTAACATGAGATAATATTTATAGTTATCTGTTTTGAAATTTAAACAAAATAGTTTTGTTTTCCTGCCAATATAATGGGGATTTCCATCCAATTGATTAGGTCAGTAATCTATGTCTGCTATTTAAGGCAGGTATGAACACAGTCAATAGTGTCACAGCCAACATTTTCTTAGTCATGAGGATATGGGCTGTGAAATCACATTAAATAACTTTTTGGGCTTCTTGTGGGTGGTGATTTGGGAGCAGATGGCAATGAACTTGGCAGCTAGAATTTGCAGTGTGAGGGGCAAACTGACACACAGAACAAATATTATTACATTGTCTGTCCTCTCAAACCCTAGATTAAAAAAATGTATAATATTTGGCATTTAGGCCAGGTACAGTGACTCACACCTGTAATCCCAGCACTTTGGGAAGCTGACGTGGGTGGATCTCTAGAATTTAGGAGTTAGAGACCAGCTTAGGCAACATGGTGAAACCCTGTCGCTACTAAAAATAGAAAAATTAGCTGGGCATTGTGGTGCATGCCTGTAATCCCATCTACTCAGGAGGCTGAGGCCCAAGAATTGCTTGAAGCTGGGAGGCGGAGGCTGCAGTGAGCTGAGATGGTACCACTGCCCTCCAACCTGGGCAACAGAGTGAGACTCTTTCTCTGTTTCTTTCTGTACCTCTTTGTGTCTCACTCTCATATCTATGTATTTATAAGGAAACTCTCTGTTAATCCAAAGGGGTCTACCTGTGTTTTTAAAACATCAGGAAGTCAACAATAGTATTCCCTAATAAACATGGAGTAGTAGGCCCATTTGCAGTGTGACTTCGGTTTTATTGATGGACACCGTAAAATTGAAAAAAAAAAAAAAGTCCAATGTCTATTTTAGTGATTTACCCAGAGACAGTTACTATAATCTTCCTGTCAGGTAACATGAGGTAATATTTATAGTTATCTGTTTTGAAATTTAAACTACCAGCTACTGTAGAATGTTCATGTCTCCTTTAGTAGAAAACCATTTCGGACAACACAAACAAAATGAAGCGATCTTACGTGTTTTCTCTTTTGGTCCCACAACACTTAGATGGGTCAGGCTTTCTTGGCAGTGCTGTCTCCAGCCGTGGTGGCTCCAATCTGGCTATATAGGAATAGCACTCATCAGAATCGTGCACCACCAGCTGTGCTGTGTTTCCATGTCTGGTCTCCAGGGTTCCGTTCTGATTGTGGTTAACCCTACTGGTTGTAGTGCAAGTGCTCTCCACATGAATTATGAATGGTTTGCCTTGTCCATTTATCATCTAGACTCTGCAGGCCACCTATGCCTGTCAGAAGTAGGCAGGTTACTACTTGTAAAAGGCTGTAAAAAATAACTTACTACATCAAAGAAAAGATGACATTCTCTGCGTGTATTTTGTGTCATCCAGCTCTGGGTTTTCCACTTGCCCTCATTCAAGTCCATGCAGCTTTTCTTTCTTTCTAGCCAGTGAGGAGGTTTTGCAGTGGGAAATCTGACGAACATGAAATGTGCTGCATGGAAAAAGTCAGAAGTCTTGAGTCTGAGTTCTACTTGAGGATGTGAGCACATTTATGCAATCTGGACCTGCATATTCATCTAATGAATTCAGTTTAGAAATTTGGCTCCCATCACTACTTCCTAAAAGAGGTGGAGTGCCAAGAGGGTAGCAGCTGAGAGGGGAGGGACAGAAGGCTGGAGAGTGGGCGAGACTAATTGGTCTTTTCGTATGACACAGATTAGATTATGTCTGTCTAAAGTTAGGAGGGGGAAGGGGGATTTAATCACTGTTTCTACCAAAAAGATATAAGGCAGAACGTCCTCACAGAACCAGATGCAGGGAGAGAAGCACAAGCTTCTTGACAAGAAAGCAGGCAAAACTACATGTAAGGCCATTTAAAACAGAAAGATATGACATTTCCCTTTCCAATTAGATAAGGGGAATTGGAAACTAGAGCAGCAAAGCATAATCTGATAAGTATTATGACAACTTTTGATAATTCAATAAAAGACATAACAGAACTTTTCTTTGCTAAATGAGCCAATAGATTTTAAAAGAGCAAATGAGATTGTTGGGGCTGTAGGGAGTATTCTAATAACAATGAAAGATCGACTTCCCAAGAAATTAGGAGTAAACATTTTAATAAAAATTACTAATATTATTAACTGTGAATTATTCTCATCTCTCAATAGAGTAGGCAATCCTAGGATTTCTAAAATAAAATCACTATTATAATTTAAGTTACAGTATGTACTATAATGTGAAACTGTATTTTTAAGGGAATACTCAGCACATCAAACTCAGAACCTGGGCTTATCTTTCCTTCATGTGCTTTTAATATTTAAGGGGCTCCTGCATGTTGGCTAAATGAATCAAGTTTCTAAAAAAAGAAAATCAATGTATTCATTCTCAACCCTTTCTCCTTAATCTTGTGGTTCTTCTGACCTATTCCTTCCCTTGGATTTTTCTTTCTGCCTTTTCTGAGATACTTAGCCCCTTTCTAGCAAGTTCCATTTATTTCAATAAGAAAACATGGGGAAGAAATAGCAAGTGTTGATTTGTGACTAAAAGATTCGTTTAGATTACATGTAAGTTCTATAACATAAGCTTTTCCCTAGACTCTGGAAATTGAATGAAATAGATATTTCCCACTGGTCATTATCTTTGTTGTCTCTGGCCATTGGCCATAGTTAAATAAACCTCCTTGGGTTTGTCTTACATACCACATCGAATATCCCAAACACCCCTCATTATTAAACCCAGCTGTGAGCTAACTAATAGTACCAAAATAGATTTTTCTCTCCTTTTAACTGTTGGGAAAACATATACCAGAGTCATAGTTTCCTGTAAATAACCGAGCTTGTTCTGTAATTTTAGTAAATAATCTGTAGTTTTGTAATGGGAATTTTTTTTTAATTGGAGGACTTAGTTCGTCATATTGCATTGTGTCAAAGAACTTAAAGCTCTTCTCTAGTTGTAAAAGAAGATTTCTGAGGGCTTTCCTTACTCAATAAATCTTTCTAAACTTCTTTTTCTTTTCTCACTTGCAGTTGCTAGATATTCCCTTTCTGTGAAATTGCAATCAGTGATATTCCTCGAAAGAAAAATATTGGGTTTCATATTGCGCCTTTCACACTTAAGTTCTCCCCAGATGTTTTTAGTAAGATGAATGCTAAGGTAGCATAATTACTGTGAAGGTAAAGGGCATCAACTATTGGATGATCAGAAAAGGCTCACCTGTGAGATCACACTACAATGCTTTCTGAAAGAAAGGATATTGGCCAGGAATCTCTAGCAAGGAAGATTATTAGTTTTGCTTTCAGAAATATCAGAGGATAACTCTAGCTTCCATCCACAAATACACATGATCAAATATTGATAAAGTGGGGTCTGGGAGAGTGTATGTCAGAGTGAGAGAGAAAGGATGGATCCTGAGGGTGACATGGAAGAGCATTTCGGGTGAACGTACAATTATGGTGATGTGAGAAAAGCATAGGAACCAGATAATTTTGGAATGCAAATGTGATTCTGTCCTTCCGGTTTATTACAGAATAATTCTCAGCATGGCACAATAAGAAATAATCTTCTTTTTTTGTTAGTAAATAATTAGAACTAGTTTTTGCAGACACTGCTGTCAAATACTGTTTGATTTTAGAGGTGTCAGAGTTTTCCCAGGGGTCTAAGTTCAGGAGAAGTAAGCCATCCTTTCCTGATGGTGTTGTTGTCTAATAAATTATGGAGCAATATTTTAATCAGTTGCTTCGACAGTCCTAGCAACATGAGTGCAATATCAACCACATTGATCAGTCTGTGATCAGTCTGTAAAACTAACCTGTAGTCACCTCAGCCATTAATCATGTGAAAAAGTTTGTTTAATTTTCCCTTCTACTTTGTACTAAAAAATGACATCTTTAGATTCCATTACAATAAAGAAAAGATGGATTATGCTTTTCTGTACTTCTAAATAAAGATGAATGCAGCTAATATTATTGACCACTTAAAATTGTGATAGTAACATACATATATATATGTATGTATATATATACATCTCCTCATTTAATTCTTATGACAATCTTATGAAGGTAATATCCTTATTATTTATAGTGAGAAAAGTTAACGTTCAAGCCTTTAAAAATTCCCAGGATTATGACAAGTAAGAGGCAAAACCAAATTTGAACCCTCATCATTTTGACCTTAAAGTCCATACAACTACCTAAATACTCTGCTATTTTAATTGAGTTCATGTTATTACATTATAATTGTCTATGTCTATGAGGCAGCAGAGGTAGGGGTTATAAGAAATGTTGGGATGAAATGAGTTATTGTTTGTTTTACTACAATTCACATGCCATTTTCCCATTTCTGGTTATTTGTTGATGATGAATTCTTACCCAGGTAATTAACCAGATAAAGTACCAATAGGCTTATAGAATTCTGCTTTGGTACTTTCTGTTTGCTTTAACATTTGTGTTATTTTCAGAGAAAATTTTAGAAGTGCTCTGAGATCATCCTTCCCAGCTGTATTTTCTACTACTCAGTTCCTGTTTTTGTCTCTGAAGAGAGAGAATTGTAGTCCTGATCAAACTCATAAAAGTAGCTAGGAATATTTCTCAATGTAACAACCTCTATGGTTGAACTCAAGGCTTTCGAGTCACGATCTAGTGATGACATTGCACTGTGTATTTTTTTCGACATTTAATTTGTCTAAACCTTACTCTTGAAAAAATGAGTTAAGGTAACTTATAGAAAAGGTGCAACAAGAAACACAATAATATTGGGGGAACAGAGTCAGCAAATAAGATATAAGGGGAAAGAAAGAATGCAGGTACACTGTATTTTAAAAGAAAGAATAGCAAAATTGACTCAATTGTACAGTTGAACTCTAACTTTGCCCCTGAGCTTCTTTGACACCAGAACCAAAAGGACCCATGGTGATCAATTATACTCCTTTCATCTCTGGAAAGTATATGTTTCAGAGAACGCAAAAGAGTATGTGTCAGTCCTATTATGAAACCTTCTTTATTTTCATATCAGTATTATGCCCAGTCCCCCATATTAATTTTTCTAATATTTTTGTAAGGGTAAGAGAATTGTATGCAGCTCCTGCTTTATAATTCCATATATTCCTAGTGTTTCTATTAACAAAACGGTTGATCTAAAATGAATATTCAGTAGGAAAATAAATAAATAAATTTAAAGCATCAAGCTACATATTTCTGATTTATTCTCTTGGATCGTCAAGAGTAAAAACCACTAAATAAATGATTAAAGATTATGAAAAGAGAAATACAGTCATTTGTGAAATAGTAGAAATGAGCCAGTGAATAAAATTTGACAAATTCATAAGTAGAAGTAATCTATATTATTTTCATGTCTCAAAATCTGGCAGTGTTTAGCTCTGTCTCTGAATACATAGTGTTCAAATAGAACATGTAATGGTGCTGAGAATTTTGGGGGAAGTCATGGGATGAAAATATTGAAGCAACTTCATGCCAATTGTTTTGTTTTCTTTATATTCATGACCAAATTTTTGTTTCTTCTTGGAGTAACAGACCACAAAATAAAGCTTCACAGTTTCAAAAAAATCATTTATAGCCCTGAAAAGTTTCCCAATCTAGACCCAGATACTTTAGCTGGACACTACAAACAACATGAATTTAGAGAGAACATCTTTCAGCTATTTCCTACAGCTTTTGTTTAGTCATATTTTTACTTGACTCTAACTTTTTTCCAATCCAGATGCTATTTGGCATTTTTGTAACCTTTGATCCATTAAATGAATTATAGTCTCAAACTAATCTAGATTCCAACACTCCAAACAAAATGGTTTCTTGACTTTCCTGGTTCATGAATGTAAAGAAAAAAATAAATAATTAAATAATTAAGTTTAACAACAGCAAAAATACACAAAGTCCACAGCAATCTTCTTTTTACCTCTCTTTATAGCACTTCTGACATTAGGCCATTTATTAACTTATTCCTGATTTGCATTATGGATATATTTTCTACAGAGAAAATGCTACGATTTTATGGTTGAGAAGAAGCCGACAGGCAAGAAGAGCCTATAAAATATCGAGAAAACAGTCATTACAATTCATGGGATTAGATTAATTCAACTTGTGATTTTGTTGCTCAATAGTTTTGTTAAACTTTCCTCTCAGTTTTGAAATAAGCATATTTTAAATTTTATTCTTCATAAGTAAATGGAAATGTAACATGTGTAATGGGAAATGTTTATCAGTTTCTGAAACTAAAGGAGGTTTTCATCCATTATCCGGGATAATTCACTATGTATGTTTTGGGACAGCATACTAACAAATTAGATGTACTCTCTGCATTTGCAGATAATGCAAAGATACATCAGCAAGCATGAATATTTCTCACTAGACTTGCATTTTTAACATCATTTCTTGATCACAAAGTAAGAAAGCAAATATTTACCTGGGAAAGAGAAGATTCTAAAAAAACATAAAACATATTTTCTGATCAGACATGCTATTATGTAAAAGAGATATTAGAGTTTCTCTATGTTGCCTAATAGAATAGATTTAGGATCAATAAGGAGCTGTTAGAAATGGGTTGCTTTCAATTATATACATAAGCTACTTTATATTTTAAGTGTGACATCTATCTTTTGTCACACTGTATCCTAAGCATCTAGCAGTGTGTCGAAAAATAACAGTTATCTTATTGGTATTAATGGAATGAATGGAATTAGGATTTTAGAAGGAAAAGGGAAAGACTTCCCATTACCCTAAAGGACTATCTAGAGGGTACACTACCATTCACAGATAGGAGGTCAGGCTAGAAGTTTAATAGAAGAATGTCTTGGAGCGCCAAGCTGACCATAATGATCTATACCTTGCAGTTCAGATAATCTAGTTCAATAATTGTCAAACTTTTTTTGTAAAGGCAAGACAGTAAATATCTTAGGCATTGAAAAGTCAGACAGTCTTTCCCACACCTGTTTATCTCTACTGTTATAACACAAAAACAGCCATAGACAATAGATAAATGAATTGATATGGCTAAATGTGGCTTACGAAAAGGCCTTAGTTTGCCTACCCATCATCTTAGTCACATATTACTCTATATCTACTTATTTCTTTTATCATTAACTTTGAATGAAACTTTATTTAAACATTCCAATTAGATACCAAATGTACTGTAAGACATTGAGGGGAAAATTGACTTCTGATTCAGGCTAGGGAAACTCCTTCTGAGAAATTACCATAATACTAGGTATTAAAAGTAAAAGATCACAAATGGAGACTGAAGTCAGAGAACTAAATTGTGGCATAAAGTTCAACTAGCATATTTCCCTAATGGATGCTCTGAAGATCCTCTTAGACATTTGTAGCGCTTGCCTTATGTGATTGTGAAAAAGTTCATTGAAATTCTGGTCCCAGGTAAGATGGAGTAAGAACATTACACGCATTACACGCTGTCTCTTTTATTGAATGCAGCTATAAAACATGGACAGAATGCATCAACAGGTATTTGAGAACTCTGGAAAGTAAACAGTAGTAGGCAAATTGAGAAAGAAGACCAGAATGCTAAGTGCCACTAAATCACCAATAATCTTATCATTTTTTCTCTGATACATCCAGTTTGAGCTCAATGCAGCCCAAACTCAGAAATAGATGTCCTTGCAGTTACATAGAGCTACAAGAGAAGCCCTCAAGTTTTGGGTTGCAAAATGGGAAGGAGGTCTTCGATGCTCAGAAAGTAGAAGAAATCCCCCTTTGGTGTTTATTTTCTCCTTTCTCTCCTACATGCCACCTTCCACCCCATCATCAACTAATCCAGGGCTATTCGTGGTGGCAGTGGCAATAACAGTAATAACGATGATAACTGGGTGCATAGGAGCCTAATGGAGTGAGGAAAATACCTTTTCTTTAAAATCAGAAGTTATTGGACCCCAAAGGGTGAGGTAAGCACTTGTTTATTTCTCTCTTTTCTTGCTGCAATTAGGCTCAAGAAATGATCACAGTTGCAGGAAGTGCATGACAGAGCTGAAAAATAAAGCCCCATATTTCTGTCTGAACTGAAAAGGGGAGCTCTGGAGCCAAAAGTTCTAGGGCGATCACAGAGAGGAAGGAGCTAGGAGAGTGACCAGAAAAAGTAGTTATAAACTCAAGGAATACCACAAGATGCACGTGTATGGCTTTGACACATAATAGCATAATGTCAACTTTGAGAACTGAACTACAAGATAGATCACCCATAACTCAGAATGACTACAGATGTCACACACATAGGCAAATCCAAATAATTCTGCAAAGGCACAAGGAATTGACATTAAGACTACAGCTCCTATAAGGCTTGTCAGAACTAGCAATCTGAAACCAGCCATGTCAATTGCCTGCTAAAACAGAAATATCAACATTCTCCAGAAGACTTACACAAAACTCAGAGAATCATAGTGTAATAGTAAAAATGTCCAGGATATAATCCAAAATTGCATGGCATAGGGAGAACTGGGAAAATGTCAATGTGTGTAGAAGAAGATAAACGGATGCCAACACTGAGGTGACACAGATGTTGAGATTATCTAACAATGACTTCAAAGAAACTATTAGAAAAGTCCTCTGACAGTAAGATCAAATACTGTTAAAATGAAGTGAAAGAGAGAAGTCTCACCAAATAAATAAAATATATAAATAAGAACCAGAGAATTTTAGAACTGAAAAATAAATTTAATCAGATTTTGAAACTCACTGGATGAGCTTGATAGAAGAATGGAAATGACAGAACAAATAGTTCATAAACTTGAAGATAGATTTTAAAATGTACATCAAATCTGAATTATAGGTTGGAAAATGACTTTGTAAAAAAAGAATGACCAGAGTCTTAAGGACTTGCGGTACAATGCCAAAGAGTTAAAAATTTGTATCGTTGAAGACACAATAGAAGAGGAAAAAGAGAATTATGCTGGAAAAGTATTTAAGAAGAAATAACAACTTCCAAATTTGGAGAAAAACATAAACCTGTAGATTTAAGGAGTGCAGAAAACCTTAAGCAGAATACACCCAAAGAAATTCAGTGATGTATTATAATCAGACTCCTTAAAACTAAAAGCAAAGAAAAAAATCATAAAAGAAACCAGAAAAAAATATCAATCACATTACTTATAGGATAGCAATGATTTGAATGACTGCATTTTTCATAAGGAAAAAACAGAAGTGAGAACAATAATGTGGTGAGACAAAAACAAAACAAAACAAAAACCCACCCAGATTTCTCTATCAAGCAAAAATATCCTTCAGAAATGAGAGTAAAATAAGGACATTAACAAATGAATTAAAACTAAAAGGATTTATTGCAAGCAGACCAGGACTGAAGAAATTGCTAATGAAAGTTCATCAGAGAGAGGGAAATGATACAAGAAGGAAACTTGGGGATGGTAAGAAATAAAGGAATTGCAACAGAATGGTAAATAACTGGGTAAATATAATAGGCTATTTTCCTATTGAATTCTTTTTAATATGTTTGATAGTAGAAAGCAAAAGTTATAACATTCTCTGATATATTTTTCAGGGTATGTAGATGTAACATTAGACAACTATATCACAAAGGGGGCTGGGGTAAGGATACCTAAATGATGGCAAGTTTTCTACATTCTACTTCAATTGGTAAACTATTGATTTTAAATTGAGAAAAGTTATATACATATTATAATTTCTAGAGAAACCACTAAAATCTTGTACAAAGAAATAAAAAAATAGAGTAAAACAGAATACTTTTTAGGATTTTTATATTTTTATATTGGTCAATTAACTCAAAAGAAGGTAAGAAACTAGAATCAGAGGAACAAATAAGAGAGGGAAGAAATACAAATCAAATAATAAAGTGGTAGACCCAAGTTCAAACATATCAAAAATTACATTCAGCAAAAATGGTCTAAGAGAGCTAATGAAAAACAAAATAAACAGAGATTGTCAGAATTTTTTAATAAAAGAAAACCTGATCCAATTGTGTGTTGCCTACAAAAACTTACTTCAAATATGATTATATGGTTAGATTAAAAGTAAAGGAATCAGAAAACTATACTGTACAAATACCAATATAAAGAAAGTAAGAATGGCTATATTGATATCATACAAAATAGACTTTAGAGCAAGTAAAATTACCAGGAAAAAAAGAACATTAAATAATAATAGAAAATTAAATTTACCAAGAATACATAATAATTGTAAATATGCACCAAACAACAAAGCTTCAACATGCATAAAACAAATAACAGAACTGAAGGAAGAATTAGACAAATTTAGAATTGTACTTGGAGATGTAGTTGGAGACTACATCTAAGACAAGAGTCTTGTCTTAGTTATCAGTAGAAACAACAGATGGAAAATCACCAAGAACATAGAAAAACTGAAAAACATTAGCAACCAATTGGATCTATTTGACATTTATAAAACTCATAGCCAAAAACATTTTTTTTATTATTCAAGTGTACATGAAACATTGACCAAGATGGATCTTACCCTGGATGATAAAATAAACTTTAGTAAATACAGAGTGTGTCCTCTGACCACAGTGTAATTAAATTATAAATAGATAACAGAAAGCTAACAGGAAAATCTCAAATCTCTTGAATATTAAGTAAGATAATTCTAAATAATTTACAGATCAAAGAGGACATCTCAAAGACAAAAAGAATATTTTCAACATATCAAAATTTGTGAGAGGCAGTTAAAGCAGTGTTTAACTGTACATTTATAGCATTCAATGTTTACACTGGATAAAAAAGAAAGGCTTCAAGCTAATGAACTTCTATCTTAAGGGAGAAAAGTGAAACAAACTCATATCAAGCAGGAAGAATGAAATAAAAAAGAATAAGTTAATAAAATTGAAAATAAAAAGATAGAGAAAAAAGAAAACATAAGTTGTTTCTTTATAATAAATTAATAAATTTGATACATCTCAGGCAAAACTGACAAGGAAAGAATAAAGACCCAAATTACCAATAAAGAAATGAGCCTGTAATCCCAGCACTTTGGGAGGCCGAGTGGGGGTGGATCACCTGAAGTCAGGAGTTTGAGACCAGCCTGGCCAACATGGCAAAACCCAGTTTCTACTAAAAATACAAATTAGCCGAGTGTGGTGGTGGACACCTGCAATCCCAGCAACTTGGGAGGCTGAGGCAGGAAAATTGCTTGAACTGGGGAGGCGGAGATTGCAGTGAGCAGATCGCACCATTGCACTCCAGCCCCAGCAACAGAGTGAGACTCTGTCTCAAAAAAAAAAAAAAAGAAAGAAATAAAACAGGTTATATCACTACAGATTTTGAAGACAATCAAAGCATAGCAAAGGACTACTAAAACAAATCTATGCACATAACGTTGAGAATGTAAATAAAATGACACAATCCCTTGAAACTGCTAGCTTCCATAACTCACCCAAGTGGAATTAAATAAACTGAATAGCTCTACAACCATTAAGAAATTGATTCATTTTTTTAAATCTTCCAAAAAGGAAATATCCAGGCCCTAACGGGTTTCCTGGAGAATTTTGCCAAACATTTAAGGAAAAACAAATTTTGCATACTTCCTAATGAAAAATAGAGGAGGATAGAATGCTTCCCAACTCATTTTATGAGACCAGCATTTTTCTGATAAAAATAGATAAAGATAATATAAGAAAAAATACAGATCAACACCCCTCATTAGCATGAATACAAAAATCCTGAACAAAATATAAGCAAATCAAATTTAGCAATATATAAAAAGAATGCTACACCACAACCTAGTGAAATTTATGCCAGGAAAGTGAGACAATTTCAGTATTCAAAAAGCAATTGGTATCCACCATATTACAGTCTGAGGAAGAAAAACAACATGGTCATTAATTCATGAGGAAAAAGAATTTGACAAACTTTCAGATTAATTTATGATAAAAACTCTTAGCAAACTGGTAACAAAGGAACTTTTACAACTTGGTAAAGAGCATCTGCAAAAAAACTATAGCTAACATTATAGTTTGTGGTAAAATATTGAATGCCTTCCCAGTACAGACTCAGAACAAGGGAAGAATTTCTACTCTCACCAGTCATGTTCAATACTAAATTGGAAGTCCTAGTTAGTGCAATAAGGTGGCACATATATACCATGGAATACTATGCAGCCATAAAATAATGAGTTCATGTCCTTTGCAGGGACATGGATGAAGCTGGAAGCATCATATTCAGCAAACTAACACAGGAACAGAAAACCAAATACCTCATGTTCTCTCTCATAAGTGGAAGTTGAACAATGAAAACACACGGACACAGGGAGGAGAACATCCCACACTGGGGCCTGTTGGGGGCTGGGGGCAAGGGGAGGGAGAGCATTAGGACAAATACCTAACGTATGCAGGGCTTAAAACCTAGATGATGGATTGATAGGTGCAGCAAACCACCTTGGCACATGTATACCTCTGTAACAAATCTGTACCTTCTCCACATGTATCCCAGAACGTAAAGTAAATTTTTAAAAAAAGTACAAAAGAAAAAAAGAATTAAAAACAAAGATAACTCACTGAGAAAAGAATAGTATTTTCCACAAATGGTGTCAGAAGAATTGTATATCAAATGAACAACAACAACAAAATTTCAACCTAAACCTTACACCTTATACAAAAATTAACACATAATGGATTATAGATACAAATGTCAGACATAAAACTGATATAAACTTATTTTAGGACAAATATAGAATAAAATTGCGTGACTTAGGGTTAACCAAGAGTACTTATACATGGCACCAAAAGCGTAATCCATCAAATTAAAAAAATAGATAAACAGAATTTTATCAAAATTAAAAACTTGGGTAGCAAGTGAGAGACACTATTGAGAGAATGAAAAGATAAGCTCCAGACTAGGAAAATACTTGCAAATTATATGTCTAGGCTATTATTTTCATTCAGAATATGTAAAGAATTCTCAGACCTCAACAATAAAAGAATCAAACAACCCAATTAAAAAATGAGCGAAGGACTTGAAGCAATAGTTCACCAAAAAGCATATATACATGAAATGTAAGCACATTAAAATATGTTTAACATCCAAGACATCCTCAATTGAAGCAATGTTGAGATACCATTACATACTTAGTATAAAATGTAAAATAGGCTAAAAATAAAAAATATATATACATATATTGGTAATACCAAAGGCTGGTGAGAATGCAGAGCAATTAGAACTTTATAAATTGCTGGTGAGAATGCAAAATATTACATCCACTCTGGAAAACAGTTTGGCAGCTTCTTAGAGGATTTCCATATGACCCAGCAATTGCATTCCTGGACACTGGCCCAAACTGGCACTGGCCCAACTGGAAACAACCAAGACATCCATCAGTGAGTGAATAGATAAACAAACGGTGAAACATTCCTACAATGGAACACTACTCTCAATAAACAGAAATGAACCCTTGATACACACAACTTAGATGTCTTCAAAGGCAATATGCTGAGCTAAAGCAGCTAGTCTTAAAATGGTAAATATTATGTGATTTCATTTATATGATATTCTCAAAAAGTCAAAATACATCACTTGAAGGGGGTTGATTACAAAGGGGTAAATGAGGGAATATTTTGTTGTGATGAAACTGTTTTGTATTTTAATTATGTTAATGGTTATATGAAACTATTGTGTAAAAATTCAGACAAATTAAAAATTATATTTTTATTGTATTTATTTTGAACAATGTAATTGTTTTAGTATTAAAATTGTATTGGGAATAGTAAAGTTAAAATGTGAAAGAAACTTTGAGTTAGAAGGTATTCATTCTAGATCAGTCTCTAATAAGTCATCTTCATCAAGAGAATTCATTTTTAATTGCTTTAGTTCCCAATCTATAACATGGATGTTATAATAACTGACCCAACTTTCTCTACAGCAATGGTTCTCAATGTTTTTTGTCTCAGTTTTCATTTATGTTCTTAAAAGTTACTAAAAATGCCAAAGAATTGTTGTTTATGGGTTATGCCTATCAGTATTTACAATATTAGAAATTAAAACTGAGAACAAATATATTTAATTCAATTTAAATTTAAATTGACAATAATAAACCAATTATATATGATTCCTTATGTAGAAATCATGAATATATTTTAAGATGGTGTGAATATATTTTAAGACAGTCATAAGCAGAGCTGAAAGTTACTTATTTCCATGTGTATGAAAACATAAAAAAATTATTGCCCTAGCAAAAACTTAGAATCAACATCTCTTGACTCCAAATCCTGTATTCTGTCACTACGTCATGTTGCTCTCCAAATAAATGTCTTGTTAGGGACATTACAAATCCTGTTTATTTCTACCTCCCTTCCCTCTGGACTATATTGGAAAGCATATTAAACAATTCTGGAATCATTAGGTATTTTTACAGTCTAAAAATGCTATTCTGATTTAGTTTGCCTTTTTCTCATTTTTCTCTTAATTATTTCTCCTGAATAATGTCTTCCCAAATATTGTCTGAATTTTTCTGAATAACAACAGCTGTTCATTCCCAGATTGGCTATGACCCCACACCAGCAATGGCACCAAGCCAATGATCTCTCCATGACAGCATCAAGAAAATTAACCTTTTCTGGATTCTGTTCACTGACAGATCCTCTTTATATTTGAACCTACAGGAGATGTTTGCAAGAGCAAAGTTAAATGAAAATATATAACTTCTGGACTTTTACTTTGGCATATTTAAGAATATTGGCATGTTCCAAATGTCATTAATAAAAAAATGTATCTGGATGTTACTACATAATAAAATTAAGGAGTTTGAAATGTCTTCAAGGTATTACTCATCCTTTATCCAGTAGCACACTGATGTAAGAATTGCTGCAAACATTACTTACAGAATAAATGAGAAGGAGACTTCATAAACATCCCAGGTAGCCCACTGTAATAGTTAGCTTTCAATGCATAAAGAACTACTTTAAAATGGTATTTACGTAGCTTCTGATTCTGTGGGCCAGCAATTTGAGTTAGGCTCAACTGGCTGGTTCTTCTGGGCTTGGCTGGACTTACAAATCTACAGTCAGCTGGGATGGCTCATTTCTGCAACACAAGGTCTTATCTTTCAGCAAGCTAGCCCACATGTTGGCAAGTCAGAATTCTGAAACAGCAAATGATCAAGACTGTCTTGGGGCCTAAACTTGGAATTCCTGAACTTTCACTTCTGCCACATTCTATGGGTCAGAGCAAGTAATAAGGCCAGCCCAGATTCTATGGGTAGGGCTGTATTCATCTCTTGATGGGAAGAACTGCTAAGTAACACAGTAAGGGTATTTTGATAGGAAAGAACATAATATAACCAGTTTTAGAAGCAATTTTCCACACCCATTTTATAATGAGATCTAAAAATCTACTCCAAGTCAATTTTCAGCACAAGAAAGAGATTATAAACGTATAAAGATAGAAATAAAACTGTGGAAAATATTAAAATATACAGGAAGGGACACTTTTTGTTGGTGGAGACAGGGAGAGACAAAAGAGCTGAGTATTAAGGAAAATAAAGTGTACTTTGAGCTTTATTGTGTGGGTATCTAGGGCATAACTAGGGGTAATGGAGAGTGAAATTGAGAAAATTTGAGCAGAATTCCATAAAAGTTCTAAGAGGAAAAATTATTCCATAGAATCATCTTGCAGACAAAGCAATGTATTGTGCATTGCATAAGCATTTGAAGAAAGCCTGCAAAAACACACTTTTTAATTCTATAATGAAGAAAATTGCCTTATCATTGCAAGACTGGTGGTTTGTTTAACCTTCTTTCTATACTTATCTGCCGATGTCCCTAATTTTCAAAGTATGTTATCCCTTCCCTCTCAATTTTCATAGCCTTTAGATTGGCCCTAACTGGATCATGCCCGTGTGCATCCCAGTTGGCTATCCTGTTTCTGTCATTTCTCTTTCCTACATGACACTGAAAAGTCAATTCCAAAAGTATCAGCTTGGAATTACACTCTTCTTAAAAATTTGGTGTTTTATTTAAACCATCATTGTCAGTCAATGAACATTTATTCAGCTCTTGTCATATGCTGGGTGCTGGATACCGGCTAGTTCTGTTATTTAAAATATTATCACTTCCCAACTGCACAGTTTCTTTTTAACCAATTTGAAGAAATTTCTCATCTATTATTTAAGTTTCTGTGAATTGGCTAAGCAGATGTTGTTTTCTCCATTCTATGTATGTGGAAACTAAGGCACTGTGACTAAGGCCATGTAACAAGTTAATCAATTACCCAGTTCCCCAAATTAAAAAAAAATGAAGATTGCAAGGCCTAAGAAAGAGATGGTGTATTGAGTTGTTCATTACAAAGAATCAAGTCTTCTAAATTGTCCCTTATTCAAAAAAACACTTGCTTTATGAATACAAATAATTTTCCCACGGAAAATGTGCTCTTCTTTCTGGCAGCTTTCCCCTTTTCTCCTCTTCCAAAATGTTCCTCAACATTTACTTCCTCCAGAGAATTTCCCCAGAGAATTGGCAGCTATAAAAATACTTTATATTTAAGATTGCATTTTAAAATTTAAAATATAGAATGTATTTGATCTATGCTTGGTGGGTTCAGTGGCCATTTTTATCCTATTTTGATGAAGTATCTAATATGATTACAAGAGGTTAAAGAATTCTCCAGGTTCACAGCTAGCTGAAGAGCCAATATTATGACTGAAGAATCAGGGAATTCCCTTCTACAATTCACTGGCTCTAATCAGTCATCACAGTTTCTCCTTAGTGCCTGTGAATGTTGCTAACTCTAATGGCACATTCTTCCTCTTTAAATGTCTTTTTATTGGAGCCATGTTCTCTCATCCCATGTTATAAACTGAATTGTGCCCCCAACTCGCAAAATCCTATGTTGAATCCCAACCTCCAATACTTCAGAATGTAACTGTATTTCAAGATAAGCTCTTTAAGATGTGATTAAATTAAGGTTGCTAGGATGGGGCCATAATCAATATGATCAGCGTCCTGACAAGAAGAAAGAGAAACACGAGGGAAATGCACACAGAGAGAAAAGGCCATGTGAAGACACAGGGAGAAGATGGCCATCTTCAAGCTAAGGAGAGAAGTCTCCGGAGAAACCAAACCTGCAAACACCTTGATCTTGGACTTCCAACCTCCAGAACTTGAGACAATTCATTTCTGTTGTTTAAGCCACCCAGTCTGTGGAATTTTGTTGTAACAGCACTAGCAGACTAATACACCTCTTAAACCCTATGCTGCAGTCAGGCTTCCTACACCTTCAATATTATTATGCTACTGTTGTTCCAACAAGACTATTCTCATTTCCTGGTAGTTTTTGTCTCAGTATAAAAGTTTTCACACTCTGGGGTTTTACAGGATTTCAGAAATAAGAAAGAAAACACATATAAGCCTTGGCCACATTATTCTTCCTTCAAGATAAATCCATCAAATGATCTCTGCACTAAAACAAATGTTAACGATTTTCAGGAAAGGAAATGGAAAAAAAAAAAAAGAAGGAAATTCGATCACACTAGTGTTATTTTATATTACCTCCCTGTGGCTTAAGTCTCTCAGGTTCCCAATGATAACATCGAAGGAGTGAGTTCTTGCAATATTTAAATGCTTATCCAGAGCTAGAAAAGTGTTGATGTAGAGTTCTGCATCTGCCGTGACCACAATAACAATGTCTGTTGTTAAAATAGAATGTGTTCCTTCCATCTTATGTGTCTTTTCTTTTTCATCCTGGAAGCAAGTAATTCCAAAACTAGAAACAGGCAGAATTTCCATGGCAAAATGCTAAGACATGCTTGGTTCTTTTTGGTTCTCCTGTTTTCTACCAGTGTCTTTATTGTTTCCTGATCACTTTTGAAGTGAAGCAGTGACTTCTTTTTCCAGCCTTTGGAGGACTTGGTCATTCTTTTAGAAGAATGCATTTTTGAAATGCAGGGAACAGATGAGACATGGTGTAATGGTTCTTACCACATCAGAGCTCTGGCAAAGAATTTAGAGGGGGAAATAACTCAAATCAATGCCATCACACCTGTCAGATTTCCGGGCAACTGATGTGCCAAATATTTGACAGAATGGCAATGAATGAACAATGAGAATGTTTAGAAAACATTTAAAAAACTGCTTTATTCTGAGATCTGCTCAGCACACAGACAAAACACAACTTGATAGATTAGAGCCATAGTCTAGAAAATAGAAAATCACACAGCTATTCTTCTTCAGGCAAATTTTAGCACAATGGATAGAGGAACAGGTGAATTCTTTTTTAAGAACCTATGAGATTCTTGGCCTGGCCAGGGCTACCTACGCTTCTGGTCTGGTGGGCTGCTTGGCTGTGGGTCTTGGCTGGTCAGGAGAACTGCAAGGAAACAAGAATCACTTCACAGGGCTGGATCCACTTGAATGCTCTTTGGAATTAACTTCATGGCAAGTAGCCAAAATAAAAGCTGCCTCCCTTCTTTACAAGAAACAACCTTCTCAGGTTACACTAGAATTGAAATGGCCCCCTAGCCTGAGTAGGAACCAGGACCAAAGATGGTCCACTGAAAGATCTGGAATCAAATCCCAGGTCTCCCCAAGGATCAAATCTGACTCTAAGCCTGGGAGGCAGAGGTGGTAGGGGTGAAGACTATCCCTCGATCTAGGCCAAAATTGGAAAAAAATCTTTCATCAAGAATCCTTCCTAAAATATCTACAGAAATTTGTTTTCCTGTGCTATGTTGCCTTTAAGGCCCAGAATACTACATATTTGTCAGTTTAATTCACTTCTTTTGCCCTTCATGGTTAACATGTGAAAGGTAACAGATAAGAGGGGATAGCACACCCTGAACCTGAAATCTAACATTCTTTCCACTCTATGGACCTCATTAATATGGAGAAGACCATGGTGTCAGAAGGAGGATTATGATCTGAAGGGGAGGAAAACATGAAGCTGTCCTCCCTGCCTTAAAGCTTCAAAGTGCATATAAATAATTCAAAATGTAGATTATTAACTTGTTCATAAAGTTAACTTTGGCTAGAAATTCAGCATGCCAGGATAAATGAAAAAAAAAAATTTCTCAAAGAGACTTAGAAAACATGGAAAACAGAGTTCTGTTTCCAGATTTCTTTTTAGGAAATAATTTTTAAGTCTTTGTAGGTAGTTTTTAATAATAAAAATAATTATTGCTCCCTATATATTAAAAAATGAGACATTACAAAAGGATATAAAGTAGAACATATAATACTCTCTTCTCCCTGCTCAGTCCTCCTCCTCTGAATCCAATTCCCTAGGATAAAAACTGCTAACAGTCTGATGTATAGCACTGTACAACTGTCTCTATGAATTTACACATCTACATCCCATACCAAGTCAAATTATAGTAATTCAGGTATTATATACTTGAAAATCTCTAAAAGTGTAGATTTTACTCACCATAAAAAAAGATATGCCCTCATGACACAAAAATAATATGTGAGATAATGCATGTGCAAATTAGCTCAACTTGGTCACTCTGAAATATACACATATTTCAAAACAACATGGTGAACACTATATGTATATATTTATTTGTCAATTAAGAAAATGGTATATAGTAAAAATGTATCCATTCTTTTCTTTAGGACTTCTAGATTTTATGTCAGGCTTGTAAAAGCTCCCTTAAGCCAAGATTTTCATGTTATCAGTTGCATCTCATCCCAATACATCTATGATTGTATTTTTTTTAAACATCTAAACCTTTAATTATCTGAAATTTATTCTGGTGTTAAGTTTGAGGTAGATATCCAACTCTAATTTTTTGAATGACTATATAACTATTCAAAACATCAGTGATTGAATAATTATCATTTCCCCACTGATTTGAAATGCCATTTTCATCATACAGTGAATTCCAATAAATATTTTAATTTATTGATTCATTATTTTGTAGCATTGGATTATCTTTTCTCTTACTGGTAGATTATTTTAATTACTGTAGCTTTATAAAAACAATTTAAAATCTGATATGAATATTTCCTCCTGATTATTCTTCCATACACCATTTTCCATATAAGTCTCAGATATTTATAGATCTAGATAAAATGTATGAAGTTTTTAAAAAAGCTATGTTGTGATTCACATTGAGATTTAATTTACTGTATAGACTAATGATTTATATCATTACAGCATTGAGTCTTTCTGTACAATAAAGATTGTCTCTCCCGTTTAAAGATACAATTCTCACACTTATGTTTTATCATTTTTAAGAATAGGTGCTGTGTATTTATTTTTTTGTATATTTCTATGAGTTTTTGTTATTTCTTTGGAATATTTTCATTCAGTCATCTTTTCTGATTATTAACTTTTGCAGGTTAATATTTAACTTGTACCCAACTAAATTTAAAAAATACAAAATCTGTTGTGTTTTTTCCCTCCAGATATGCACTTGTAACATAATCTGTAAATAAGCTACCACCCTTGAATGTTAACTCCATGAGGGCAGCCAGTTCATCTTTGCATGGCAGTACAGTCTTCCCTGGGAATACACAGGGGATTGGTTGCAGGACCGCCTGTATACACCAAAATCCACTCATGCTCAAGTCCTGAAGTTAGCCTGTTGAACCTGCCTATAGGAAACGTTGGCCATCCGTATTCACAGGTTTTGCATGCCTGAATATTGTATTTTCCATCGTTGTTTGGTTGAAAAAAATGTGTGTATAAGCGGGCCCATGAGGTTCAAATCCATGTCGTTCAAGAGTCAACTGTATCTAATAATTACCATTGTATATAATACCTTAATATATGACTGGCATTGACAGGCCCTCAATCAATGTTTGTGGAATAAGTGGATAAAATACTGATATTTTCCCATTTAACCAACAAGTTACATGTTTCTTCTTTAGTCTTAAATTACCAGTAATTGTAGGCATCACTATGACATTTCTGATTAATATGTTTCAAGTGCTTCAGTCTTCACCATGATCCTTTTAGTTGTCATAAATATTTTTTCACGTGAAGTAAATTTATATCTATTCTTATTTCTCTAACAGATTTTCCTCTTGAATCAAGAATGGGTAAGGAAAATTTTCAAATGTCATATTGGCATATGTTAAAGACACCATTTGTTTTTTTCTCCTCTGACTTATTAGTATGCTGAGTATTATTAATGCATTTTAAAATATTGATTCAGTTTTGGATTCCTGGATTGAACCCCACTTGGCCATGGTGAATTATTCTTTTAATGTACTGCTAGATTCTACTTGCTAATATTTTATTTAGGATTTTCATCAACATCTTTTCTTTTTGGTATATTGTTTTGATATTAGCATTATCTTATGGGCTTCAGATAAAGGAGTGGGAAGTTTATCTTTTGTATTATAAGAGATTTGTATTACAGAAAATCTCAAATCATCTCTGACTTGGAGCTCTCCTTTACTCCAATTCTGCTAATATGAAAGAAATACTTTTAGCGGAAATACTGGCTTTCCCAGGTTGGAACTATGATTCTGATAACTGGCCTTTTTAGGTTTGGTAGCTGGTTGTAGCTTCTTGGAGAAGAAAGTTTTAAATTACTGGGAGTCTTTGATATATATATGTGCCTGAACACTGGAGAAACTTTTCCTCCCTAGTGCATATTAAACTTGAATTTTATCATGTTATTCTCCTCTCTATGTATCACATGTTTATTTTTGTAACTCTTATTGGTATAAACACGTTTCATATTATTAAAGATCTTGATCAATCACTATGCATCTACTATACATAAACATTTAAAGAGCTAAGTCCTGAGAAGATTGCTTATCACCCAACTTCAGTACATTTATTATAATAATCTTGAAACACCACTGATTATCATCTGAGAGAAAGATGAGTGGTAAAATCAAATGGAGTGACTAAAAGGTGCTAGTATATTGCCAAAAATATGTAATTATTTTGCTGATATCTAGGTGAATTGTGCTATTTCACTTACAAGAGGATAGCTGCAGGGACTTGATTTAATTGAGAATAATGATGTTAATTGAACATCAGATGCTGGTGCACAATTTGAAATGACACTTTATTTTTTATGTATTTAGATTTGAAATGACATATTATTAATTTACCTTTTAGGTAAATTTAAAAACGTCTTTGGTGGACACAGATCATAATAAGTGAAGATGGTTGTGTAAACCACAACTGAGACACTGTTAAAGAGACCAAACTGTTTAAACCTGTGGTTTGGGGCAAACCCTCCCCTATAGGTGGCCTACAGGGAGGGCAACACTGACTCTGGTCATGGTCTGGGTGACATTGTATTCCATTATCCTAGAAAACAGAGGTGCTAGTAATTACCAAAATAACAGCATTTTGGCTGCTGTAATGTGATATTTTTAAAAATCTGAAATCTGGACGATGTCTGCCTCACAGTGTCTCCAGAGAATTATATGCTACATTAAAATTTCAACAGGAATAAAGTGTATTCCTTCAAAAGCATCCTTCATTGTTTTTAACTTTTCCAATGTATGTTACTGTTTTTATTCCAAGTACGTGTTACCAGTGAGGTTGAGCAAATGATAATTTGGGTTTATTTTTATTTTTTTCCTGGAGCCAGTTTGGATTTCTTCTATATTTGGAGGATATCAAAAGGCTTTAAGAAAAGTAGGATAAGCCTGTGGAAGAAGGATTGGGGAGAACAGTGATGTCCTGGGTGACAAGGAAGACAGAGAGCCTTTGTTCTAATGAGGGCATTCTTGGTGGGCCTCCAGATAGTGTCAGGATGGGGGCTAGTCACCAGAATGGTCATGGCTGGATTCAAAGCTTTGAACCCTCCAACTTCTGGGGAGGAGAGAGGAGCTAGAGATTGAGTTCATCACCAATGCCTGTGATTTTATTAATGATGCTTACTAATGATTACCTCCAGAAAAAACCCTATGCAATGGAGTTCACAGAGCTTCTGGGTTTATGGACAGTTAGTCAGAAGTCCAGGTGGGCTTAGACTTACAAGTGGCATATGAAGTCAGTGAGCAGTCTTGTGGGGCTGAGCCCTTAAACTGTGGAGCCTGTACTAACTCCAGATAGTGGAAAAATTGGACTGAATTGTTGGATACCTAGTGAGTGTTGCAGAGTTTGAGAAGTGGTGTTGGGAAAACACCATGTATTTGATGTCAGGAGGAAAAAATACCTCGTAGGTACTCATTTATTATTAGCCTGAACAACATAAAATGAGGTAAAAATGAGTAGAAAATCAATTATATTGAGATGAGCTCTATGGCACCTCCTACATTGAAATTCAATGATAGACTCTGCAATTTCAATGTCAAATAGCAATAATTGTGAGCACACTAAAACCTGATTTTTCCATGCCTCATATTTTCTAAGAAACTGTAATCTGCCTTCCTCTGCATCATCTATATAGTTTTGGTCCCATTCCCAAGATTAGAATATAATCATTTTATTTAGCTTGTAAATTTCAGGATCATTCTGAGGTCAAGCTTGTCAGGATGCTTAGATTGAAATGAATCACATTTCTAGACTGTGTTGTAATACTCCAAAATATTAAATGAGGGAAGACGTTCAGGATGCATATCAAGCATATAAGCCTCAAGTAAAATAAATGTGTCATTGATTTTTATTGCAATTATGGTGTGGATTTCAACTGATAAGCAAAGCTAGATGTTTGAGAGCTTGAACATCTTTCTGAGATAAGATTTAAAGGAATGAATAGCCTCCTCAGAGTAAAAAAGTATGACAGTGTAGAAATTGAAGGTCTTCCTCTTGCAGAGTCTCTCTTTGTAGATTATACTATAGCTTCCATTGAAGTATACATATGCTGTAGAAGTAGATAAGCATCTCATCTTTGTTCTTGTTCAATTCAAACAAATATTCTGAAGAAAATATTATTCTCAGATACTTTATATTAAAGAATCCATGAAATATTCATAGGTTCTTCTATCTCCCTTGAAAGTAAAGAGTATGACAGTTTAAGTCTACAATGTTGATGTGAGATAACATTTTCCTCAATAACTTTCCTGTGGGATAAGTTTGGAATACAGATAAAAATGTATCAGTATCTTCCAGTTGACAATGAATTATTAAATATAACACATAAATACCAATGTAAATCTTTTAAGTTTAATAGATGATTTCAGAGGACTTTAGAAAATTAAAATTAAATCTATTGCGGTCCTATACAATGTGCTGATGAAAGGTTTCCATATGGCAAGTAAATTATATATTTGAAGATAGAAATAGTTAGCATGTATAGCTTTAAATTACCAAGAATATTTCTGCTCCTGCTATTAGCCAATAACTTGTACTGAATTGTCTAAGTACAGTCCAGAATTAGTGAATGTATCTTAGAAGGAAAAAAAAACCCATATGTTCACTAGTGGTGGATTTACTTTGAAGAAAGAGCACTGAGCTGCTGACATAACTTTCTTAATAATTATATTTCTCCAATCCCTGTCACTTAACTACTTCTCTATTCTATACTGAATTTCAGTCTCTAACATATGCACTTTAAATGGGATGCCAGAGATTTGTGAATATGTGCACAGGTGTTGCTGTTAAAATTAGAACCAGAAAATGAAAAAAAAAAGGCTTATCACATCTCAATTCACATTAGAGTAGAACACAATGAAATACACATTTTTTTAGTTGGAGGGGTCATACGGGAATTTGACCTATGACTACATTGCTCACACCTATTTGAATTAGCAGAATTATAACTTTCATGTATATAAGTAGACACGTATCAGAAAAAAAGAAAAGGTACTGGTATTGTACTGAAAAAAAGAACAACAAAAAAGCAAATACTGAAGCACTGCTTAAAACAGTAATTATGGTTAATGCAATGGTTAATACCTCATTAACCATTTGTATTGTATTATACCTAGAAGTGAATTAAACTCTCTGAAAATATTCACTTACTAAATTCAAGGTTACCCACAGACCATTGGATATATGCCCAGGTGCTTTTTGAGGGCAGTAGGACTCTGAATATATGAAAGGGCAATCTAATCATGGTAAAATAAAACTCTGCAGGTTATAAGAATTTAAAATCAAAGAGAAACTTATTTAGAACTTTCTTCAAAATACTATAGTATAAAACATTTTTCTTTTTTGCCAGAATACTGGTATTCTTTTCTCAAATAAAATCTTCATTATCTCTGTGTAGTATGTGTGCTAGTCTAGCAGCTTTAAATAAGGGGACTCATTTAAACATGCCCTATGTGGACACTAGAGAATTCTACACATTTTTATTAGTTTTCGTGAAGAAAATTACTATAGTAGTTTTAACATAAAAGGATGCCATTTTGCTTTTCTCAGGGCATCTGACACAATTGGACAAAAAGATCAAGGTGTTCGTGACTGTCTGATCTCAATGGAAAATACTTTTGGGGGTTTTAATATACAGCACTTCCATTGATACCAGATCTGGCAGTTAGAAATACATGGAAAATTCAACAAATGTGAATCAGGTTTTCACGCAGATCTCCATTAAGAGATCTTGGACCATCTCCAGAATTCAATCAAAGGTTAATGAAAGAACTATACTGTATCTGACTGCAGACACTGTTGCTCAGTCAAGCTTCCTGGATTTTTGCCTTATGCGAAATGACAAAAATACATCTTTCCAATATGTGCTCACTTTCTTAAATGACCCGTTGAGGGGACTGACTCCCCTCACCTGTCCAATCACCCAGTTTCCAAGCCTTACAACTTTATCTATCAGTTGAAATCCTTTAGTACAGTACTATTTTAGAACTTTTCCAAAAAATCATTTGTTTTCTTTCTTTTAGTGGGGGAAAGAATGGCAATAACCACAGGATGGTGAAAACAGAAAATGCATCTCTATTACCATATTCTCTTTCTCTCATCAAATTTCATGACTATTTCCATGACAAGCCACCGAATAACAGATATTTTCAAAAAGTATCATTTCCCAGTAGATAACCTCAGTTTAAAACAGGATATCCTGGTCTCTCAATTGCCTGACAAGAACTCTCTTTGGATGAAACAGACCATATGTTTTCCAGCATGGAAAACTAAGACATGAAGGATTTGGTGGGAAGTTATTAGATATTCCTTACAAGGCAGAAGGAAAGCAACAGAAGCACCTTCGAGCTGCAATCTAAAGGAGCATGTCATGACAGATTTAGGAAATGATAATACAAGTCACAGAGAAATAGTTAGCTAGTGGAAAGGAGAATACATTTCCTAACCATGAAGGTATTTAATATTTAGCTCCATGGAGCGAAAACTTTATAGGGGAAATTCTTTGGTTTCCCTGCTAAGATAATTCCCTGAGGATGCCTCTTCAACTCTTGTCTTAAAATACGCCACTGAATCTCGGAATGGTAATGATTTTCATTGCTTTTATGGAGATTCATCAAATTTTTTTTAGTTTGAGTATGTGAATTATTTATTTCCCCAACAAAACTAGGGAAATATTCACAGTCATTATTTAACAAGTATTCCTTCATTCTGCATTCACTTAGAAATAAAATTTGCATGGTATATTATTACATTGCATATGTAATTATGAATAGGGATACCATTAGCAAACTGAAAATGACATATACCCTGAGCACAAATATGACCATACACATTTTCTCATTAAGTATTTTTGTCTAGTACTGGTAATGTGCAGTGTTTGCTATCATTACCAATCAATGTTATAAGATCCTAATTTCTCAAGTCAGTTAACATTTATCAAGTGCATTCTACATGTTAAGTACTGTACTAAGCACTGAAGAAACAGAAATGACTAAGAAAAATATCTTATAAAATACATGATGTTGTACATACTAAGTTTTCAATGAGTTAAAAAATAACCTATTTATAAACAGATATTTATTAAGTGCCTAATATATCCAAGAAGCTATGGCTAGTTGCTGAGATTTTTAATGCAAATAAGAAAGACATGATCACTGACCTTCAGATCATATAGTTTAACATAAGAGGAAGTGAGTTAAAATGATTGCAAGGAAGTGTGATCAATTTTGACAAGGAAGTAAAGATTACTAATAGGAGCATGTAAGTGGCCAATTAAGCCATTCAAGATAATCAAAGAGTAAAGACTTTTAGGAGACAATGTCTAAGTTGGGACCTAATGTATTATTAGCAGTTACAAGGCCAAGGCAGAGTGAGTAGCAGAAAGGGAGGGTAACAGGCAGAGAAACAATTTGAGTGAAAGTCTGGAGAAGAGGAAGGATCTGAAAGAAGTTTAGGAGCTGAACTCCAGTCTCTAAAAGTGGAAGTGACAAGAATTGACGATAAAGGGAGAAGCGGGGGCCAGATCATAAAGGATCTTGAACACTACCTCAGTAGGATTGGCTTTCAGATTTTAAGTCTAGAAACAATTCATCAAATTTGCCCTTGGCAACATTATAGTGGCTACACTATGAAGAATAGTTTCAGTGGAGAGCAGAGAGACAAATTATGTCTTTGTAAGAGTAATCCAGTTAAGAATAATGATGATCTGAAATATAACATTGTGGGTGGGGGAGATAAAAATATGGATTAAAAAGATATTTAGAAGATAAAATGGTGGTTCTGAGTGACTGGTAAATGTAGGAAGAGACAGTGAGGGAGACAAGGCTAGAGTAACCTTGGATTTCTGATTTAGGCGACTATGGGTGTGGAGGTGCAAATCGTATATTCAGGGAATCCAGAAGGAGGAACCATTTTAGAAGGTGGAGAGATGATGAGTTCAGTTTTGGATATATTAAATTTCAAATTCTTTTGAGAACTCTAAGTAGAACTATCTAACAGGCAAATATCTAGGGTACATGAAAGACTGGATTAGAAGAATAAATTTGGACCTTGGTGGTGGTCTCTCAAACCCAGTAGAGTATGCCACCTTAGAAGTGAAGGGAAGAGAGTGCTTCAATAATAGGAATTATTAGAAACCTACAAATTCTCTACCCAATAACTTCTTTTTTTTTTCTGGCTGTGGTTGTACACTGGAACTATATGCAGGGCAACCCTGGAGTGAGTGATGTTTACACACACACACACACACACACACACACACACACACTTACTTCATCATCTAGTGATAGGAAACTAGTACATAAATGCCTCAGGTCACTTGTGTCTTTTTGTGGTAACTCTGAGGTGTGTTCTACACAGTCTTCTAGAGTTCCCAAGTTGTTTTCTTTCTTTTAATGGGGGAAAGAATTAAGCCCCAGTTGTCCATGGTGGTAGCTGGCTTGCTAAGTCACCCTTTATTACTTCCTTCCCTGCCTCACTTCATCACTCTCCCAACTTGCTTTTTTTCCTGAAATCACCAGCAAAATTAGCTACTTGCACTCAAATCCTTGTCTCAGGAGCTGCTTCTTGAGGAACTAAGATTAAAATAGCTAGTACAGGAATTTGTTGAGAAAACACTCTCATTATGATACTCTTGAATTCAATCATTCATCAATCAGATGGCAAGTAAGGGCACCACTGATGGCTGTAAGTGAGTGGTTAAGACTCCTGATGTGCTGTAGCACCTTAATTATTGAGGCTGTCATGTGTGGTGAATTGAGATGAATACAGCTAGAGGGGAATTCCTGGCTTATGCAAAACCTCTAGTCTTAAAGGATATAGAATCTACAGTAATATAGGGATTGCAAAGTATGTTGGCTATTGCTAACTGCAGTAGATTAAAACCCCAACACCTACAAATTTCCTTTGCTAAAGTTAGGGTCCTGAGAGAGTTCTTGAAATCAGAACATTTGGGTGAATACATTTGAGAGGCATAAATCTGCAGATTCTCCTGAAATTATTGGGCTGGCCAGACGAGGACTCCTCTCCTTTACTAAAGAATGTCATTATCCTTTTGTTGGAGAGCATGTAAATGTTTCACCTGATGCAGATGTCTCACAAGACTATGACTCCCCTGCTGAAAATCTGTCCCCATCTTTGCTCAGTTCTTCTGGATAAATAACTAGAGATAAGGCTCAGCAGAGTCAGATAGAAAAAAAAAGTCTCTGTTATTGGAGGAAAAGGATTATCACCAAAACAGCTTTGAGATCTGGCCAGAATGTTCTGGAAAGAATGGGGAGAACATGCCTGGGAATGGATATTGTGAGTGACAGCCCAAGGCTGCTAGATAAAAGGTTGAATAAAGAGAGTTCACTGATAAAGAAGCACTTTCATATGAGGTAAGATTCAGCATTCTGGTAAGGTCACCTACAGCCAGACCTAAACGACAGATGGGTTGATTATTTCAAGCATAGGACAAATGATGGTAATTGATGTGAAGATATCTGAACTGCCCTGCCAAACTATTGAGGAAGGGATCAAAGGCTCAGAGAGGTGGGTAAGCTAGAATGGATTATTTATGTAAGACACAGGGGAACGTTTTCTCCAGGAGGGCCCAAGGAATACCCCTTGTAATGGTTAATTTCATGTGTCAACTCAACTGCGCTAAGGGATGCCCAAATATCTAGCAAAACATTATTTCTGGTGTGTCTGTGATGGTGTTTCTCACACACACACGCAAACACACACAATAGCATTTGAATCAGTAGACTGTGTACAGAAGATCTGCCCTCACCATTGCAGGTGGGATTCATCCAATCTCTCTATTCAGTGGGTCTGAATAGAACAAAAAGGTGGAAGGGCAAATTTCCCATTTGCTTAAGCGGGGATATTCATCTTCTCCTGTTCTCCAGAATCTTGCTCCTCATTCTCAGGCCTTCAGACTGGGATTTAACAACCAACACTTCCCCTGGTTCTCAGGCCTTCAGAACATGGACTGAATTACACCACCAGCTTTCCTGGTTCTCCAGCTTGTGATGGCTGATCATGGGATTTCTTGGACTCTACAGTTGTACGAGCCAATTCCTGTAATAAATATCACCTATTGGTTCTATTTCTCTGGAGAACCTTGGCTAATAAACTCCCTTTATTCAAATGATAAGAAATAGGTTAGTAAGGGGGAATTGATAACGTTGAGAAATTCCGTAATGACTATCATTTGCAGTCAGTATAGATGATACAGTTAAGTAACTGGTCCCTACGATGTCAATGAAAATGATAGACTTCTACAATAATGCAAGTCAAGTAACGTCACTTTATCGTTGGAGCCAATTACCATAATGGGCAGAAAAGCCATAATGTTACCAAGGGGAACCAACCATGAGATATCTGTGATAACAAACAAACCATAGTGTTTTGAGAGGGAAGATAGACTTCTAACAAATGTATTGCTTAACTTCTATATCGCCGCCAAAAAACATCAAAGAATGTAAGAAAATACTAATGTCAGTCAATAGAGTAGAAAAACATGATTATTTGACCAGTTATTAGACATAAATCGGCTCTCAAACCCAAAGGTCATTGACTGAAGGGAAGGTGAGGTAGTCTGAGGAAGAAACCTACAAATGTCTGAATAAATATTCATGGCATTTATTCTCCAATTTACCCCCAAAGAAACATACAGACATTTACCAGAGGGATTGCACCCAGATATTTTAAGGGTTTCTGGATAAAGGGAATGACCTGACACTGATAGCTAGAGGACTCAAAAGACCCGCATGGCTCCCTGATAGAGTTCAACTTTGGGAGGCCTAGTGATAAATGAAATCTATAAACATTCTCAGTGGTTATTTGTCCAATCTCTGAGTGTATAATCAGCATGGATATAATCAATGCTTGCAGAACCCCACACATTGGTTTCCTAATCTGTACATTAAAGGCTATAGCGATAGGTAGAATAACAAACAAGAAAAAGCTCCTGAAACAACCCCATACTCAGCCCAAATCACAAAGCAGAAGCAAAAACACATCTTCAGTAAATACAAGATCCATGTTTCCTATAAAGATTGTAAGTAATGCAGAAGTAGTGGCCCCATTATATTTCCGAGAAATTCACCAGTCTGGTGCCTTGAAAAACTAAATAAATCATGGCAGATGAGATCCAACTGCTGAGAACTTAAATAAATAGTAGCCCCAAATGCAGCTGCTCTGCAAGATGTAATATATTTACTGGAACACATCAACACAGCCTCTGGAAATGCTGTAGTTCCCCTTTATCCAGCGGGGGATATGTTCCAAGATGCCCAGTGGATGCCTGAAATTATGGATAGTACTGATCCCTATATACACTATGTTTTTTCCTACACATACATACTTATGATAAAGTTTTTTTGTTTTTGTTTTTGTTTGTTGTTGTTGTTGTTGTTGTTTGAGACGGAGTCTCACTCTGTTGCCCAGGTTGGAGTGCAGCGGCATGATCTCTGCTTACTGCAAGCTCTGCCTCCCAGGTTCACGCCATTCTCCCGCCTCAGCCTCCCGAGTAGCTGGGACTACAAGTGCCCGCCACCACGACTGGCTAATTTTGATTTTGCATTTTTAGTAGAGACGGGGTTTCACTGTGTTAGCCAGGATGGTCTCAATCTCCTAACCTCGTGATCCACCTGCCTCGGCCTCCCAAAGTGCTGGGATTACAGGCATGAGCCACCGCGCCTGGCTGAAAAAGTTTAATTTATAAATTGGGCACAGTAAGAGATTAACAGCAATAACTAATAATAAAAAAATTATAATAAACCAAATATGAATGTGATGTATCTTTCTCAAAATGACTTACTGTATGTAATATATTTGAACCATGGATGACCATGGGTAACTAAAACCACAGAAAGTGAAACGATGTGTGGCTATTGACCTAGTAAATGTGGTTTTTTTTTTTTCAATTCCTATCATGAAGGAGGTTCTGAAGCAATCTACATTCACCTAAGATAAACAGCAGTAGATATTCTTGGTTTTGCTTCAGGGCTAAGCTAATTCTCTTGCTTTCTGCCACATAAAGAACAAACAAGTTTTTGCACCTTGTATTACCTACAACTAAGAAAGAGGCATGATGCATATTAGCTGACTTTGAGTTTTGGAGACAACACATCAAACATTTGGGAATGTAGCCCTGACCCACTTATCAAGTGATTTGGAAGCCTGGTAATTTATATTGAGCCACAAGAGGGTTCTGTAGCAGATACAGACTGTAGTACAAACAATCCTGCTATTTGGCCACATGACATGAAAGGTCTTACATTACTAGAGGGGCTACCCATGGTGGATAAAAACATCATATGGATTTGCTAGCAAACCCTGACAGCAAAATCACAATGCATTCCCCTAGATTTCTGGAGCAAGACCATATTGTCAACATTGAAAAAATGACCTTACCATGCGACTATGTTTCAGTAGAGTGACTATATAACTGGAGCTTCTTATCATGGGCTGGGTATTGCCAGACCCATCAGCTCATAAGATTGATGGGTGCAGAAGCAATCCATCAGACAACAGAAATGGCATATTTGTAATGAGATTTAATCAGGTCAGAAAGGCAAAAGCAAGTTATGTGAACAGGTGGCCCACACCGCTAGGTCACCTACCTCTGTTGCAACTAACTCTTTCTCTATTAGCTCACAAATGTGGCTTTGTTGAGGATTGTCTAGACTAGATAATGAAGGGGATGGAACAAAACCTAACTTATTTCACAGATGAGCTGGATGGTTGCATCTCTGACAATCAAAATTGAATTGCAAATGCACCACAGCAGCATAGCACCACTCAGGGGTGGTCCTGAAAACATTGGCAAGAGACAATATTTCAGTGGGCAGAGTTTTAAGCAGTATAGCTGATCATCAATCTTGTGAGGTATGGGTATACTTGGACATCTGTGAATGGCGTGGTTGGTTGTTTGATCAGAAGGCCTACAAAAAGAATGACTGAAAAAATACAGATAAAGAAGTCCGTGGCTGGCCCTAAGAAAATGCAAGCAGAATCTGCAGTTCTTTGTGTTTCATGGCTATTCCTGCCAGATGGAATTCTCTAAAGAATCCTCCCTCAACGAGACTGTCTTAGTCCATTTTTTGCTGGTATAACAGAATACCACAGACTAGATAACTTATAAAGAAGAGAAGTGTATTCAGCTCACAGTTCTGGAGGCCAAAAAGTTCAAGTGCATGATACTGGCATCTGGCAAGGGCGTGGCAGAAGGCATCATGTGGTGAGAATACATGAGAGAGAGGAGGATGTGAGTGAGCATAACAAGGAAGCCAAACATAACCTTTTTATGAGTAATCCACTCCCATGTTAACTAACCCATTACCAAGTTAAAGCATTAATCCTTTCATAAGGAAGAGTCCCCACGACCTCATCACCTCTTAAAAGTCCCACCTCCCAATACAATTACATTGGCAATTACATTTCGACAGGAGTTTTTGAGGGAAGAGTCAAACCATAGCAGAGACCAAGGAATCACGTGGAAGAAAGATGATGACATTGAGCCACTTCCTTCCTGAAAGGGATAGAGATTCAGAATTATTGAGATAAATGCAGTTTCTGAATACGAGTTTGTCTTTCTTACCTTTATTGTCTTAGCCAGCACCACCATAAAAGGATTCACAAAGTGTCTGATTTATCTACCATCAAGGAATCCTATGCAACATTACCCTGGACCAACGTTATAGTGGAAAAGATAAGATAGTGAGTACATGACTGTGCAATCTTCTATTCTTACTATTACCACCTCATCCTGAAACAGTCAGAATGAAAACACAATAATCTTTAAATGTACATCTATGATGCCTGCTTGAAGATGATACCCTATGAGGTTGGACTTGTCCTTCAATATGTGGTCTATATTTTGAAGCAGCTGTTATATGGCACTGTGTCTTTGAAAGGTAGAACACGTGGTCTGGGGAAAAAAAAAGGGTAGAAATAAGAGTGACCTTGTCATCCCACTCTCAGTGAACCACTTGCAGAAAATAGGTCTGGTTCCCAGAAGAGGGATACTTCCAGAGGAAACACATTAAGGATTTCACTAAATAGTTTTGGGCTCCTTGTGCCAATAGAGCAGTAAGTGGGATAGGAGTTGGCAGACTATCAGTGTTGTTGACCCTGATGATCATGAAGGATAAAATTGCTAGCGTATGATGTGACCTGAAAACAGAATATCTAGAATACATATCTAAAACTATTCCATTGGAATCACTTCACTGTTGCCCCTCTTGGTACTTTCATGTTTCCCATTCCTATGAACAGGGAAATAGGGCATCCATGACTAGACTCTGGAGCTTTAACCAAGATCTCTGACCCCTCAGAGCTAAAGGTCTAGATTACCTTACAAAGAAAATTACTTAGATTAATAAAAAAACTGGCCAAGGTAAAAGATAATAAAATGGGTGGTAAAGGAGAAAATGTAAATACCAATTATGGTCTCCAGGCCAATTGCAATAGGATAAAATGTTTGTTCCACGAATCTTCCTGCTAGAAGTCTTTTTTATGGAAAACTGTGACCAGTAATTACCTAGAGAATCAGTGACAAAACTGAGTAGCCTTAATTTGGGACACAAGTAAATTTGGTTGGTGCGACACAGTCAATGTCCATCTCTTAGCCCATTGGCACACATTTGTACATATTGAAGTGTTTACTGCAAAGACCTCATCTCTGCCTGAGGACTTTTACCATATCCAGCCACAGAAGCATTCTTTGTGCCCTTCAAGTTATAAGTGTTGGGAGCAATTATCCCAGAGTAGCAGCAATTAAGAATGGATGGCTAGGGTAAATCCTGTTGGCAAGGATAACTCTGGGATATGTTTTATACTGTCACCCAGTTTCCCCAGTGGTTTTGAGGACCATTTCTCCACATCAGCAACTTGATTGAAGAAAAAAAAAAAAGAAAAAAAAAACTCTTTCTTGACTTTCTTCCCTTCCTTGCCTCAATTCTGTCTCCGAGCAGTGTTTCTTGAAATCACTTCCAAAATAAATGACTTGCATTTAAATCTTTATTTTAGGGTTTGCTTTCACTCCATGATGCCTTAGAATCAAGGAATTATTGTATGGCTTGTCCTTGTAGAGATAGTTCTCAGTCAAAAATTTGTTCATAGTAAACATAATCTAAAAAGCAGAAGACTGCAGATAATATAGGCAAGCATGAGCTTCACAAATATGAACGGTATTGGACTAAAGGAAATCAATGGGGCTACTCAGTTGCTATCCTGCATGATTTTTTTTTAGACTAAGTTGGTGGGGATTTACTAATGTGCATGATGAAGCATAGAAATAATTTTTCTAGCAAGAGTTACAGCACAAGAAAAGACATGTATGGTTTATATATTGGAATTTTTCTGAAGGCAATGGACCTTCCCAATGTCAATCATTCAGAGAAGAGAACAATCTTAGGTCAGCAATGGAGAACTTAAAAGGAAAGCCACAGGTTAGAGAGAAAGGAGGCCCCCCGTTTTTTCCTCTAAGTCTTAGGAATTCCAAGGCACCAAGGAACAAACATGTTTAGAGCTCTCCTCATGGCCCCTGCTGCAGTTAGACTGGAAGCTGGCTGGGAGACATCCAATAAAGAAAATTAGGGACGATCTTGGCCTCCAGGCTCTGACCATAGCTAAATCCAATATAGACCTGTTACATGTAATAGCATTTTAAAATGATACTTAGTCTCTGTTACTCTAAACCTGAGTAAATGGTTTTATATAGTATAGTCTTATTTAATTCATTGTGGGCATTAAGAAAAATCATGAACCATGCCTGCAACAGAAGGATAAAAATGCCATAAGGACCCATTACAGCCCCATTCATCAGGCCAGAGTGTTGGTTGTGTGAGCCACACAACTGATCTCTGCAGGGAAGTTTGTACCTGGGGGATCAGTAGTTACATAGAAGTAGCAGGGCAAGGAGTGGAAGATTTATGCAAGAGGCCAGAGAAGTAGCAAATGGGGGACTGTTCTCTGAGCACACGCAGAGCAACACCCTGAGAAATTCTGTAAGACGAGGGATGTACAACTTATGGAGGGAAAATTGCAGCATAAATAAGAAGAGGCTTAAAATTATCATAATTATTTCTAGAAATTTAACTGTTATGGGGTCACAGGTTATTGAGGCCAGGGCTGTTTGAGTTTTTAAATTAAAAGAAAGCCTATAGAATGTGGGAGTTAACAATGAGGAGAAAAAAATAATTCAAACTGCATCAGGAAAGACTTATTTTAGATATTTTGAGAAAATTACTGAAAATAATTCATTATTTAACAAAAATTTAAAATATCCTTTGCAAAAGATATTCAAGGCACTATATAAGTAGGGCCACATTTGTATTCAAGGGAATTGACTGGTTATTTTTGGAAGTCTTATAGCTTTCTAATTCAAACATGTGAGCACAGACTTCCATATATTATTCATGCATATAAATTCTACTCATATACATGTAAAAGTTCTTAAAATTATTTGTTTTATAATGATATATAATTATAAAAATACATCAATTTCCACATTGATAAAAAAAATCATAGGTTTTTAGTGAAGACAAAATAAAAGCCTGTTATTGATACATCACCTACTTTTAAAATTTCATATAGACCAACTGAAAGATTAACTTGGCACATAGATACATATCAGCTTTCATAAGTAGAACATGAAGACAAGAGGTATTTCTATATTTTAGTTTAGTGACACAAGAAATAAACAAGTATGTAGTACTGTTATACTCTATTTTAAGAATGAAAACTTTTATTAAAATAAAATATAAAATCACTACATTACATTTTACTTGTTTCATGTGAAAATTTGAAATATTAGAAAGTTTGTTCTAAGAAATATATGTTATCCTAAATATACATACACGCATATATATACACATACACACATGTGCACACATACATATTTTTACACATAGGCTATTCAAAATCAAGTAATTTTTGATTTTTTTAAGAGGAATTAAAAACTACTTTTGATGTAATATTGGGTCTATAAGAATGCAACTAGAATGTACTGTGTTAGATAACTTGCTAGCTAAACATTTTTCTATGTGTGCCCAGCTACACTGAAAATCAAGAGCCTATTGATATGGTTTGACTATGTCCCCACCCAAAACTCATCTTGAATTGTAGTGCCCATAATCCCCACTTACCAGGGGAAGGACCCAGTGGGAGGTAACTGAATCATGGGGGCAGATTTTTCCCATGCTGTTCTCATGATAGTGGGTAAGTCTCATGAGATCTGATGGTTTTATAAAGGGCAGTTCCCCTGCACACACTCTTTTGCCTGCTGCCATGTAAGATGTGCCTTTGCTCCTCCTTCACCTTCCACCATGATTGTTAGGCCTCCCAGCCATGTGGAACTGTAAGTCCATTAAACCTCTTTCCTTTATAAATTGCGCAGTTTCAGATATGTCTTTATTAGCAGTGTGAGAACAAACTAATACACCTATAAATTCGAATTTTACACATTAGAAAAATTTTAATATGCATGTATTATTCCATTTTCCTATTGCTATAAACAACTACCTGAGACGGGATAATTTATAAAGAAAAGAGATTTGACTCACAGTTGTTTAGGCTGTACAGGAAGCATGGCTGGGAAGGCCTCAGGAAACTTAACACTAATGGCGGAAAGTGAAGGGGAAGCAGGTGCATCTTACATGGCTGGAGAAGAAGGAAGAGATCAAAGGAGGAAGTGCTACACACTTTTAAACACCCAGATCTCATGAGAACTCACTCACTATCACAAGAACAGCAAGAGGGAAATCTGCTCCCATGATCCAATCACCTCCCACTATGTCCCCCCTCCAACACTGAGGATTACAATTTGACATGAGATTTGGGCAGAGACACAAATCCAAACCATCTCAGCACATTAGAAAAAATATCAAAATAAATTAGACACATATTTGCATGTACAAATAAAGCATTTATGGTTTTCTAAGAACTAAATTTAAAGAAAGTAGGAAGATACAAAAATTAGGGATTTTTCTGCAAGTAGTGTCATTTTATGTAAAATAAAAACAATTGAAAAAAATGTGTGGGAAATCTATTATTAAAAATATAAAGTATGTAGAGTTTCTGAACATCTCATGAAGATGTAAGAATCTGAGTTTCTTGAGTTCATATATAAAAGAACTCAAGTGTTTGCTCACGAAAGGAGAACAAGGCATGTTAACAAATATTAGAATCTTCATATTAACAGAAATGGAGTTGAAAATTTGGACTGGTCACACATGGAACAAGTACACTTCCTCCATTATTGCTAACAAGTGAGGTATTTTACCAGTTGACACATAGTTTATTTAGCATAAGATATTTGGAAAAAATAATACTACATGGTTATGTAGTTTTAGAGAAGTGCTAAACAGTTTACCACATTTCACTTGTTAAATCCAGAGGTAATGAATATTTATATTTTTCAAAGTAAATTGTGAAAACAATTTCAAATTATGTAATTTTCATGCAATTTTAATAGATTAGTGGGTAGTGCATATAAACTTGTTTTTTCATAAACAGTAAGTTATTAATATATTCTAAGATGAATATATTTTTATAAGCCTAATTTTAATAAGATTTTGATGATTTTGGTATGTATACAAAATTTGATTTGAAATCTGTGAATACATGATTTTTAGGAACCATACCAAAATTAATCAAGTTAACATCATATCATATAATATTTTGGAAAAATATCGAAACTTCTATACAACTCTAAGATGCTAGTTTTATATAACCGTATATAAATTAGTTTTATATAAGCCTAATTTTAATAAAATTTTGATGATTTTGGTAGGTATACAAAATTCGATTTGAAATCTGTGAATACATGATTTTGAGGAATCATACCAAAATTAATCAAGTTAACATCACATCATATAATATTTTGGAAAAATACCAAAACTTCTATACAACTCTAAGATGTTAGTTAGATAACCGTATGAGTCTAAAGAGTTGGTAAAAATCCCTTAAATGGGTCTAGTGACTTTCTGCATGAACACATTCCTATTAACTATCCTTGTTCTTGAAATTTTCATCACTTTCACATATTTTTAATAAAAGCCATAAGCTCCATGTCTTATTAATAGGCTATAATCAATAAATATCTGTTATATGAGTCAACTTAGATCATGTATTATAAAACATTTAATATAGTGGGCATCTTAGAAATCAATTGATCTAAACTCAGTATTTTACATGATGAGAAAATGGGGCCAAGAGAGGTCATTGTGTTACTATTGCCTCAAATCACTTAGCTAGTTAATGACAGAGCTACAACTAGAACCCAGTGGACATTCAGTGGTTATTCCACCCCACCACACATGCACATACTCCCCCCCAAAACTAATGCTATTTCAGGGTTTATTAGTTATACTGTATTTTTAAAAATCATTTCACTTGCATATATTTTGTTTTCACAAAATTACAACCCTCTGTTAACTTGTTCCTCATAGGGCAACACAAGGCTCATTAAAAAGTCTATTCAGAATTGGATGACTTTGACCCCTCCATGCTACTACTGTAACCTCTCATCTGATCACTGTGGGGCCTCCTAACTTACCTCACTGCCTCTGCCCTGGCATCCCTATGGTCCATGCTCTACACAGGAACCACAGTGATCCTCTTAAAAAGGAAGTTGGATTATTTCACCCTTCTGCTCAGTATCTTGTAATAGCTTCCAGGTCACAAGAAGCAAAGAGTCTAATTATCATGATAGTCCATCCATGATGCTGCCTCCATCCCTCAAAATGCACATCTCTGATCTCATCACCTAGTGCTGTTCCCTCTCTCACTCCACTCCAACACTGTAGGTCTCCTTATTATACCCAGATATGCTAGTATGCCTCTTCCTGCAGGTCTTTGTACTACCTGTTCCCTCTACCCAGTCTGCTCTTAGTCCAAGAGTTGACAGAAATCTATCACCTTTTTCAAGTAAGCTCCAATGGCACCTTTTAAATAAGACCTTATCTGGCCATCCAAGTTAATACTGTCCTTCCATCATAATCCATCTTATGGGCTATATTTGTATTTTGGTCTATAGAATGTATTGCTTTTGAACATTATAAAGTTTACATATATATATATATATATATATAGTGAGATATATACATATATAGTGAGATATATACATATATAGTGAGATATATATATATATATTTCTCCCTGCTGGAGTACAGTGGTGCAATCACAGCTCACTGAAGCCTTGACCTCCCAGGCTCAATCCAACCTTCTACCTCAGTCTCCCAAGTAGCTGGGACTATAGGTGTGCACCACCATGCTGGTCTAATTTTTGAATTTTTTGTAGAGATGGGGTTTCAGCAGGTCTCCCAGGCTGATCTCAAACTCCTGGGCTCAAGCAATCCTCCTGCCTTGGCCTCCCAAATTGCTGGGATTACAGGCCACCACACCCAGCCTTGTTATATTTTTTTAGTTGCCTATCTCTTCCTATTGGAATTTAAGTAAGCCCCACGATAGTAGGGAGCATTATCTTTGGCTCACTTACATATTCCAAGTGCCTAGAACTATGAATGGCATATGAGAGAGGAATTGAAATAATTGACCACACTTTCTAATGAAAAAATATTTATTTACTGTATATTGTGTTTTTATAATATTTTTAAATAATTGGTTTATATTGATAACTATGATAAAGCTATAGTCATAAATTTAGATTGTGCTAACTAGCTACAAATGAGAAAACATGTAAACTATGTAGATTTTATATTTTACATAATTCAGATTTTGACATTTTCAATGTATATCTTTTCCTGGATGTAATTCAGTCATCTTTGAAAGCTACATTAATACTTTCAAATGATGAAGGTATTGTTTAAAACACTGAGCAGAAAAAAAGAATTTACAAAAGTCAACAAAAGTCTACCTTAGTTTATCATGTTTGCATGTTTGTACCTTAAAGTCAGATAGAAACTGTCTTACTGTTTTAATAATCATTAATTCTTATTTTGCTTTTATATAAAAACCTCCTTCATAAGATTCATTTGTCACTTAAATTGAAATATATACAGATTTGACCAAATACAAACAAAATCATATGTATGGCAATAATAACTTCATTTTAGATCAGCTGAATTTTCTTTGGTCCAGTAATAAATGCATTTCTTTCTTTAATTTTTTTCACTATGATGCTTCTTGTTATTAAGTTCTTCTCACAAAAAAAGTAGTACATTGGGACATTTTTGAATAAAAATCATTGCTTAGGTAAGTCTACAAGTAACTTTGTGTCTCCCCATCAAGAGTTAATTGTAAGACAAAAATTGTCAAACATTTTCCATTTTATAAAAATAAAATTTGCTAATTGAAGCAGAGAATCTTTTGAGTTTTGTTATCCCCAGCAGAGAAGCTGAAAACGCACAAGTTAATATACTGTGACTATGGAGCTTAACTACTATTAACAAAGGGGAAAATGAATATGATTCTAGGCCACCATTCATTTTCAGTAACTATATTTCTAGCCATTATTTTCCCAAATGAAAAGGTACATTAGGATCTTATCTGCTTTGCATAGTGTACAGAATGCTAATACTTTCTAATTATAGACTGTTTCCTGAAAATTAGGTAGATACCACAAATAAATGTCTAACACATCTGCACCTGCAGCATAGCACGATTAATTCAATATTGCTGAGAAGGCAAGTGGTCAGTGGAAGATATCACTCAACATGGAGATTTTATCTTAGTTTTGATTTCCTTTTCGATATAGTCCTCTGATTAAACCATTTGAATTTCTTTTCTCTCAAATTTCTTTAGATTCAAGTTTAAAGACCATTTGTAAATTGAATGTATTAGAATCTTAGGCTCTCTCTCCTGGAATGTAAAAATCTCAGTGGATATTCACAAGGAGCAAGAGTAAGGAAGTAAAATCAGATTAGATACAGCTGTGGATAGGCAAATTATTATGGTAGAGAAGCAATGTGCAGAGTGGAAAAAGCAGTTGGGGCCAGCTCATTTCAAATTGTGCTTCAGTTGCTTCAAGTTAAGCCACAATCGTCTCATTTCTTGTAATGTGATAATAACAACCTAAACCATAGGATTTTTTTCTAATAATGATATACCTTAAAGCTTACAGTATCTTCTTTGCAGTTGGTAAATTCTCAATGAATAGGTAGCAATTATGTAAATTATTCTAAATTTACTTACATTTTTTTCTTTTAAATGACTATATCATTCTAAAATTAATAATCCAGTAAGACAAGCACATTAAAATTATACAAAGTGAATTTATAATGGTATCGATGAAGGTTTTCCTTGGTTAAATAAAAGAAAAAAACAAAACATTGAGGCTTCTGTCAAAATTTTTACTAAAATATTTTCAAGTAAGGTTTTGCAAGATATTGCAAACATCACATGGCTACAGTGGAAAAATCATTCTGAAATCCTAGCCTCAAAGTGAAGTTGGACTGGTGCTGCCAAAAGAAAAAGCAGGCAGATTGTCTCACAAGAGGCTTCACAAAGAGACATTCATTATCCCAGTGATTTCCCCATGGTGCAAAGAGTGACCAGTGAACTTGTATGCTCAGATATAAGCTTGTTATGGTGAAAGTGTTTAAGAGTCACAATTACTGAGGTGTAATTACAGTAGGTGGTAGTTGTCTTTTTTTTCTTGAAAAGTTGTTTTTACACTGTTGCAGAACAAGTAGAACTGACTCTAATGTTATAGAATTTATGTAGCCAACTTACTGTACCTTTGAAAGTTTCAATGCACTTCTAAAAGAACATGGCAAAATTAGACACATCCCTCTACTTGACCCCCAAAAGCTCTGTGTGCAGCAGAAACATGATTTGATTTTATGTATAGCTGAGGGACATAATCATATTTATCAGCTCACATATAAAATTAGAATAACAATTTGCTATTTTACAATGAATAATATCTACAATGAAACCAAAATACTCAAATTTCTTGCATGTAGACCTCCATGCAAGCTAAATACATATTAGAAGGGTTCTTGGTAAGCAGAAATCGGACCATGAGCAGTTATAGTGTGGAAATATACCATAATAATCCAATAGTCAACAATATGCTTTTTGATTACCTATCTCTCTTCACCAATAGCTCCATGGTTCTGCTCTCTTCCTGACAAACTCTGAAAAGTTGTCTATATTGCTGTCTCTGCAGTCTCCCCAGCCTTCCATTCTCTCTTGAACCCACTCCAATTAGGACTCCATGTTGTTAAATCCCATGGCCAATTCTTAGTCCACCCTCGCTTGATCTTTCAGCAACTTGGCATCCTCCTCCTTAAAACATTCCTTCTCTGGTTTTTGAGTCATTACGCCCCTGGGCAAGATCTTCCCTCAGCATTCCAACTACTATACATTGGTTCTCAATAATTTTTTAAACTTTTATTTTGAAGTAATTTCATAATTATAGAAAATGTGCATGAATAGTACAAAAAACTTCTATATACCCTTTATCCAGATTCACCAACTGCTTACATTTTGTTACACTTTATCACTTTCTCTCTTTCTGTCATTCATGGATTTTCCAGAACCACTGAGAGTAGATTAGGGACCTCAGGCCCTTTTACTTCTTTACTTCTCTGTGGATTTCCCCAGACCAAGAAAAATTCGTCAGCATAATCATAATATTGTATCAATGATGTCATCAAAATCAGAAAATATAACATGATACAATACCATTATCTATTTTACATTATTAAGAAAATTTCACCATTTTTCCAATAATATTCTTTGTAGTAATTTTGTTTTTCTGGTCAGGGATCCAATCCAGGATCATGACTACATTTACCTGTCATGCTTCTTTTAATCTAGAATTGTTCCTCAAACTGTATTTGTCATTCATGACATTGACTTTTTAAAGAATACAGGACCTTTTTTTGGTAGGATGAGGCTTTCTTCATGATGAGATTTGGGCTTTGCATGTCTGGTAGGAGTACATAAGTGATGTTATGTTCTCATCAGTGAATCTTCATCAGGTGGCACAAAGCATTGGCTTGTCCCATTATTGGTATACATCATCTCTGATCATTTTGTTAAAGTAATGTCCTCCAAGTTTTCTCCCTGTAAAGTTATCACTTTTTCCTTTGCAATTAATAAATAATTGATGAGAAGATACTTTGAGACGACATATATACCCTACTTCTCATTAAACTCCCAACTTCTAGTCTTAGCATCCATTGATGATTCTTGCCTTAATCAATTATTACCATCATGGTTGCAAAATGGTGACTTTCTAGTTAAGGATATAAAGATGTATTTGGGTAAGAAAGGTTATAAAGAAAAGATATTTTTATGAGAAAAAAATCTTGTATGGTTAATTTTTGTCCTAAACTAAAATGAACTGGTTATTTTAAAAAGAGAAAATGTAGGACAAAACAGAAAGTCCATGCATGTCATAGATGGTCTGTGTAAGTCATAGGCAGGGTTTTTTTTTTTCTGATTCTCTGTGTGTCTATCCTTACGTACATATGGAGAAAAATAGAAAGTTGAAAAATTTTAGATTATCAAATATTCTTTAAAACCTGACAGAAAATTGGAGAAACTTGGCTAATTAACATTGCTTATAGTTAAAGCTCTTCATCTTAATGAAGGTAAAATATGAAAAGTTGTAAAGAAATACATTGGCAGTTTAGCAATTATTTTTTAATATAGCTAATCATGATGCCAGTTTTAGCATGGAGCCAAATTTCACATAAATGCTTGCACTGCTTTCTTTCACACTGTATTTATTATTGTGCATAAATAGTACTAGCACTCAAATACTTACTGGTCACACACCTGAAGTAAATTTCTTAATTGTACAAAATGCATAGTGATGTTGGTGGACTTAAAAACCTGAATTCATGTATCAGGAACAAAATATTCATCATATGTATTTGTAGGGTCTGGTTAATGCTGTAGCCTCCAAGGTAAACTGAGTAGGAGAAAAATTGGAGGTTGGTTTCCCATATATTTGTTTTTGCTTTTAATTTCCTTTTTTTCAGGTGAAATAATATTGTGGTTATTTATTATTATTATTATTCATTTCTTAAAAAAAACAGGATACATGTGCAAAACATGCAGGTTTGTTCCATAGGTATATGTGTGCCATGGTGGTTTACTGTACGTATTGAGTCATCCTCTAAGTTCCCTCCTCTCTCCCCCAACCCCTCAACAGGCCCTGGTGTGTGTTGTTCCCCTCTCTGTGTCCATGTGTTCTCAATGTTCAACTCCTATTTATGAGTAAGAACATGCAGTGTTTGGTTTTCTGTTCTTGTATTAGTTTGCTGAGGATGATGGCTACCAGCTTCATCCATGTCCCTGCAAAGACATGATCTCATTCCTTTTTATATGGCTGCATAGTATTCCATGGTGTACATGTACCATATTTTCTTTATCCAGTATATCATCGATGGACATTTTGGTTGGTTCCATGTTTTGTCATTGTAAATAGTGCTGCAATAAACATATGTGTGCACGTGTCTTTATAGTAGAATGATTTATAATCCTTTGGGTATATACCCAGCAATAAGATTGCTGGGTCAAATGGTATTTCTGGTTCTAGATCCTTGAGGAACTGCCATACTGTCTTCCACAATGGCTGAAATAATTTACATTCCCACTAACAGTGTAAAAGCATTCCTATTTCTCCACAGCCTCTCCAGCATCTATTGTTTCCTGATTTTTTAATAATCACCATTCTAACTGGCTTGAGATGGTATCTCATTGTGGTTTTGATTTGCATTTCTCTGTTGATCAGTGATAATGAACTTTTTTTCATATGTTTTTTGGCCACATAAATATCTTCTTTTGAGAAGTGTCTGTTCATATCCTTTGCCCAGTTTTTGATGGGGTTTTTTCCTTGTAAATATGTTTAAGTTCCTTGTTAATTCTGGATATTAGACCTTTGTCAGATAGATAGATTGCAAACATTTTCTCCCGTTGTGTAGGTTGCCTGTTCACTCTGACATTTTCTCTTGCTGTGCAGAAGCTCTTTAGTTTAAGTAGATGCAATTTGACAATTTTGGCTTTTATTGCAATTGCTTTTGGTGTTTTAGTCATGAAGTCTTTGCCCACGCCTATGTCCTGAATGCTATTGCGTAGGTTTTCATCTAGGGTTTTTATGATTTTGGGTTTTACATTTAAGTCTTTAATCCATCTCGAGTTAATTTTTGTACAAAGTGTAAGGAAGTGGTCCAGTTTCAGTTTTCTGCATATGGCTAGCCAGTTTTCCCAGCACAATTTACTGAATAGAAGAACCTTTACCCATTGCTCGTTCTTGTCAGGTTTGTTGAAGATCAAATTGTTGTAGATCTGTGGTGTTATTTCTGAGGTCTCTGTTCTGCTCCATTGGTCTATATGTCTGTTTTGGTACTAGTACCACACTGTTTTGGTTACATAGCCTTGTAGTATAGTTTGAAGTCAGGTAGCATGATCCCTCCAGCTTTGTTCTTTTTGCTTAGGATTATCTTGGCTATGCGAGGTCTTCTTTTGATTCCATATGAAATTTAAAATAGTTTTTTCTAATTATGTGAAGAATGTCAATGGTAGTTTGATGGGAATAGCATTGAATCTATAAATTACTTTGGGCAGTATGGCCATTTTCACAATACTGATTTCATTTCTTTGCCGTTTGTTCTCCTTTGGGCTTTACTCATATATAAACATATAATACCATTGGTGTTTTTTAGTTTCTAATGACAGGCTTGTATTTGGGTCTATGAATAGCCAGATGCATTTCCAAAGTTCACTATTTGCTCTATTTATCTAAAGTTCCTAAGCTACCTTTGTCAAACCTGCAAAAGTTGATAGAGCGCAACAGCCATCTCAAATCTGATTGGATTTTGTTACCTCTGATGATCTAGAGACCTATAATAGCTTTAAGTTTCCTGGCAATAAAATAAAATAAAAGACTTATTTTTATAAGTTTTGAGCAGAAATAGTACATTATTATTTTGTTATTTGGAAAGGTAGCTAAGAGTAGAAATGTTTAAGTAGTGCTTATTTCCAAGATAATTTAATTGAATTCATAACTTGAGTGGTTTCAGATCTTTTCCTTCAAGTAATGAAGAAAAACTGTGATATGGGTACAAAGTTTTAATGTTCAGAAATTATTAGACTTGTCCTTAAGGAAATTATATTGACTAGGATATCTCTCAAACTACTTTAGTTGTGTTTACCATTATTAAAATTAAGTGAAATTCACTTGGATTAAGTAGTAATTTTTGAAAGTGAGACTTTCTCATAATTTTTGATCCCAAGCCTTTTATTACTGTTAGGCTTTCATATGCATACTTGAAAATAAAATATGTACAAGTGTAGCACTTGTTTGAAGATTCTAATGGTGAAAGTTGCCTAATCAGTTGTCAGTACTACATCTAGAAGCCAATCTATTTTGGAAGTGTGTGATGATGCTCTTTTAAAATAGCTGAAAAGACATCATTGTGTGCTTGTTCTTACTTTGCCCCTGTTGTACAGTATTTAAGTGAAAGGAGGTTATTTATCCTCATACTGAATTTCCAAAACTGATGTTTGCATTTACCTTTTTTTTTTTTTTGATGGAGAGAAAAGTTAATTGTCTTACTTTGATAAGTTTGATATAGGCCCTATCCCATGTTTTTAATGTGTTTGGTCACAGTTCTGTCAGCGGAATGCTAGCAATTAGATATGTGCAAGAAGTAACCTGACCACTTTAATACAATGGTTCATGTGCTGATTAGACACTAAATCAGTGTTTTGTGACATGTTAGAGAAAAATGATAGGACTTTCTGGTGTATAAATGTCCTGTTAACTAATCCTTGTGCTGTTAAGTGACAGAGTTCTGACTGTAAAAGAGGTACTGACTCCTGCTAAATCTTGAGCCTTGATAGTAGTCAAAGCCTCCTCTTTAGAACCAGGAGAAGATGATAATTAAAATGAACTGCTTTTGTAAAACACAGGCCAAAAATTAAAACTATTCAATCCCTCTAGGCCCACAGACTATTGTGGAAAAGGTGGGCATGTGAGATTGTAAGGGCTGATTCTAAGGGATAAAATTAGAGTTTTTCTAGAAATTAAACCTTAATGTAGAAATTGATCCTCCCAGTCTTAAAACCTGAGAAAGTTACGTTTGTCTTATCTGAGTTCTTTTCTCAGGAAACCAACCATCAAGTCTCCTGATGTATCAAGGAAACTTACCAGATCATGACACCTGGACAAGGTGATGCTAGGCCTCTCACCTATCATGACTCCCTGTCCTATCACCTGCTTTCTGCTGACCAATTCCTCTTCCTTACCCCTCCCTAATTCCTGCCTTCCCACACATTGTTACATTTCTTGCCTGCTATATAAAACCCTGTTTTTAGCCAGGCAGGGAGACAAATTAGAGATTGATCTCCCATCTCCTTGGCTACAGGACCCAATTAAAGCTTTCTTCCCTGGTGATACTCATCATCTCAGTGATTGGCTTTCCATGCAGTGAGCAACAGGACCTAGACCAAACTGCTGGCATTTCAGTAACAATACATAGTAGGAATACAATAAATATTTATCAAATGAATAAATGAAATGTTGGAAGAATTATGCTAATATGGCTTTATGCATCCCTCTCTGGAGATAGCCTTGCTAATAAGTCCAAAACTCCTGGAGTTTGCTGGAGTCAAGTCTTCTCTCCCAAGACATGTGGCACTACAAAAATGATTCTCCTTTTGTGCTTCTTCTGGCCCACAAATTCTCACCCTACTTCCTGAAGATAGGACATGCTATTTATCTCTAGACTTTCCAGTATATTTAATCAGGTTATGTTTTTTGTCTTGATTGCCTGGGAGTCATTTGCTGTATAAAATGTTTGGTCATCTATGCTCTGACCCATTGTGATTTTACACTTTAACTCTCAAAAGCCAACTTTGATGCCTCTTTCCCAAGTTGTCGGTGACACCCCATTACTGCCCACTGTTCTCAAAGTCAAAATTGTCTCTTGTGAATTCTGCTTACAGAACCATTTGTCACTTAGAAGAATGTGGCCAATTTTGCTTGTACACACAGCAGTTCAGATTCAGACTTTTGTTAAGTTTTGTTACATAACATCTAATGAGAATATCAGTCTTAATATTTGGGGTTATAACATACAGATGCAAGTTTATAAATATTCTTGGTCATAAGTCAGTTTATATTAATATAGATGGAACAATTGCTTGCACTTGTGCCAATTTCTATACTGTATATCACATACGCTCATGTTTGTATGTAAGCCTCTAAGAACTTGAAACATGAAAAAGAGTAAAGTTTTCATATTTATAGATGAAGAAATCAAAGCTTGGCAGGTGTAAGTAATTATTGCCAAGATCACTCAAACAGGACTATAAATAAAACATCTACATATGTTCAAACCCAGGTTCATCAAACTTCAAATCCTATTATTTTGCTGCTATATCACATTATTTCCTCCTACATGATGAGGATAGAGCCATGGCTTTTTTTGTGTGACTATAACCTCTCCAAACAGCCCAGTAGATATTCTTGGTCCAAAGTTGCTTTCTTGTGAGTGGCTTTAGCAAGTGCCTGGATTCTTATTGAGTATGACTGATATGTCCTTCTTTTTCTATGCCAGACAAAACCTGTAATATCTATAAACCTCAAATCTGCCTATAATTCTGGGCAGGTTTAATCTTTACCAACAATAATTCTTTTTTGTAATAGTTTGATACAGGAAATGGCTCTAAACCGTGGGTAATTTTACTTCTAGGAGTTATTTGGCAATGTTTGAAGGTGTTTTTGGTTGTCACAAGTGTGGAAGTACTACCATCTCTTCATAGTACCATAAATGTCTTAACAAAACACAAAGATGATAGTAGATATCCTACAATGCATAGAACAATCCTTCTCCACAAAGAATTATATGGCCAAAAATGTCACTTGTACTGACGTTGAAAAACCCTGATGAATGGCAATCATAATAACACAAAAAGTCCAGATAGGATTTGAAGTTCAGACTCTTGTTTACTAGCTTCCCTGAACATTAATTATATGTCCACAAAATAGGAGTAATAATATGTACCTCACATAGAGTATTGCAAGGATTAAATGAGATGTTATATAAACAGCTACTTCCTGATATGCGAAGCACTCCTGACATATATTTTCAATTGCTCTTATTAGTATTGTTGTATTCTTTCGACCTTTATGCCAAACAAGTGAATTTTTCAGTTTTTCCTTGAGAAATACGTATTAGCCTTGCCTTCTCACAAACACTGCTTCCTCAGTCTAGAGAAAAGTGAATCTGGGTGGTTAGCAAGAGTACTTTTTCTTCTTTCAATCCACACCATGTCTGCTCTGAAAATTGAGCATCTGTGATCACTTTACACTTTTTCTGATCCTTTCTGCGAATGAGCAGATTGATTTTTAAGCTTATCCTGTTGACATTTTCAGTTCCTAGGAAGTAAGACATTTGTTTTGCTCTAAGCTTTGTCCCTGTGGATAACTCTACCCCAACGGCACCCATCTTTTAGGGATTTCAACAATCCCCTAAATAAACCCAAGTCCATCTGCTAAAGGACCAAAAAAGAGTCAGAAGTGTGATTAAAGGAAATTGAGCCTTTTGGTCTCACCATTCCCTCTGGATTTTCTTCTTGTTTGGTTTTCACGAACCTCTAAATTTGCCAGGGAACAAATACCGTTTCCTGCAGGCTGATGTGTGTATTCTCATTAACATGAGGAATGGGTAAAACGTGTTGGATAAAGGAGTCAATGACTAGAATGTGGGAGGATGAGCTACAGTGAAGGAGAAAAGAGTATTTCTGCCTAGTGGATTTTTAAAGCCTTTTTTCACTACTATCCTTTAATGTGTGGGAAATCACATTTGCCATATGGGAAGGTTATTTGGTGGAAAAAGAGCTTTAGCTCAGGTTTAGGCACTATTAAATTTATCCTCTGGTTCAGGCCTGGTGTAACTGCACTGTCTGAGCTGCCATTAGTTTCTCCATCCATATCATGAGGACAATAATATATTCATAAGGTTATTTTGAGCATTCAGACCACTGACCTGCGAGGCCTTGATGCAGAGCAAGCACTCAATGTGTATTGCTACTATGTTACCTTTTCAACATTCCGCTTTGAGTTTCCCAGGCTGTAGCCCTCTTTGGGAAGAGAGCTACCTGATATGCTCTGATGCAGACTTTTTAGCTTTATTTGTAATTAAACTTTTTAATTTTGAGATAATTATAGATTCAATTATAGTTTTAAGAAATAGTATCATGAGATCCCATATACCCTTCATCCAGTTTTTCACAATGGTAACATCTTGCAAAACTATTGTATAATATCACAAGTAGGATACTGACATTGATGTAACCAAAATGCAGAACATTTCTATCACTACAAGGCTCTCTCAGGTTTCCCTATCATGGTCACCCCCACATCCTTCTCAGCTTGATCCTTTCCTTAACCCCTGGGAACCACTAAGTGTTCCTCATATCTATCACGTCTTCATTTCAGCAATGCTACATAAATTATGAATAATACACAGAGTGTGATCTATAAAGTTGTTGTGTATATCAATAGTCAGTTCCTTTTCACTTCTGAGTAGTATTCCCTGGTATGGAGCTACCTCAGTTAGTGAAGCCATTCACTTTTTGTTGCTTATATTTTGAGGCTACTATTAATAAAGCTACTATAAATATTCCTGAACAGGTTTTTATTTGAACATATGTCTTTATTTCTCTGGAATAAATGCCCCAGAGTGGAATTTCTGACTCATATGGTAATTGCATGTTTCATTTTTTAAAGGAAAATGTCAAATGATTTCCCATAGTGGCTGTACCATTTTGCATTCTCACCAACAATGTTTGAATGATCCAGTTTCTCCAAATCCTCACCAGCATTTGGTATTGCCACTATTTTTTTCAGCTTTACTGAGATATAATTAACAAATAATATTTGTATTTCAAGGTGTACAACATGATGTTTTGATAAATGTATACATTGTTAAATGATTATCACAATCAAGGTAATTAACATATCCACACCACATGGTTACCTGGTTTTGTGGTGAGAATGCTTAAGATCTACTCTCTTAGCAAATTTCACATATAATGCATTATTATTACTATAGCAACCACACTGTACATTAGGTCTCAGAACTCATTCGTCTTATAACTCTAAGTTTATACCCTTTGATCAACATTTCCCATTTTTCCCCATCTCTGACCCCTGATAACCACTCTTCTGCCCTCTCTTTCTATGAGCTTGACTTTTTTATATTCCATGTATTAATGAGATCATCAAGTATTTGTAAAGAAAAGTACAAATACAAATGCTGTTTGGCTTCTTTCACTTAGCATAATGTCCTCTAGATTATGCTAGGTAATGGTAGATATCCTACTTACTACATCCATGTTGTAGTAAATAGGATATTCTTTTATATGGATTAATAATATTTATCTATTCAATTTATTTTATCTGTCATCTGTTGATGGATATATAGGTTGTTTCCATATCGTGGCTACTGTGAATAATGCTGCAGTGAACATGGGATTGCAGTTATCTTAGAGACAGTCATGTTATTTCCTTGGGATATATACTCAGAAGTGGAATTGGTGGACTTTATTCACTTGAGTTCAACCTCACAGGTTGCACAAGAAAAGAAAATAACAATTTCTATCACTTGGTAATGCTCCTAGCTGTCAACTCAACAATGCCCAAATGAAAGGAGGGGGCTTGAAGCCCTGCTTCCCTTAACCAGGCTCAGCCCAACAAGGCCCTCACAGCTACAAAAAAAAAGTTAAAATTTGTATTTGTGGGTACACATAGGTGTATATATTCATATACATGAGATGTTTTGATAGACATGCAACGTGTAATAATCACATTAAAATTAACTCTTTTCATGTGCGAACATTTTAAAAAGGAAATGTACCCAATCCAGAACATTCCTCTATGTTCTACTCTAGAAATGAATCTTAAGTATGCATTAAGCATATATAGTGTATTGGAGTCCAGATACCTCTGAGAGTTCCTATATATATGAATATATATAAAATATACATATATATTTAATATACATCTGAGAGTTCATATATATGAATATATATATAAATTATACATATATATATTTAATAAGGCCTATATTTTTTAAATAAAGAGATAAAAGTCTCCATGCATCTGAAATTGAACAGAAACTCAGAAAAATCAAGGGCTAAGGCTACATGCCTGTTTGGCTTCAGGCTCAGAAATATGCAGTGGTCACTGAGTTGACTCCTAAGGGGTATCAGGGACTGGAACAGGACCACCAAGCCTATATCTAGATTTCTCAACATGTATGCCATTTTTTCTTGATCTTTTTTTTTTTTTTTTTTTTTTGAGACAAAGTCTCACTCTATCACTCTATCGCCCAGACTGGAGTGCATTTTTCTTGAACCATTTTGCTGCTACCCCTCTTGTCCTTAATTTCTGTCTTACTGAAACGGTACTCTCTCAGTCTTTGCTTGCTAATGAAACAGCCATTAATGATTCCTGAGTAAACTGTCTTATTTTCTGGTTGTTTCCTCACACACTCGTATCCACCCTCTCATGCACATATGCTTGCACTCTCTCTTTTTCAATCCTGTGTGCATGTGTGCGTGTGCAAGTGCACACACACCCACACCCACACACACAAACACACACATCCCTTTAGGCGGGAAGCCATTTCTGTTGGCCCTTTTTTGTGCTATGTAAACTAAGACCATATTTCTTGACTACCCTCCACGCCCTGCCTGCCCTATTAATCCAAATTTACAATAAACAACATAAAACTGTTATATATCAAATCTAATAGGATGCTGATAAAGCACTGGTTAGAAAGAAATTTTAGATAAAATGCATTTCTATTAATAACAACAGATATTAAAACAAATTGGCTACAGAAGCTATTAAAAGAGAAATAGATTTTAAAGAAAGTAAATAAAGGAATAGAAAAAAACAAGAGCAGACAATAATGAAATAAAAAAACATACAAGAGCAACAGAATGTTTCTTTAAAAGACTAATAAAATAATTCTTTATCAAGGCACTGAGGTGAATGCTTTATATTACGTTAATTCGTTTAATTTTCACAGCCACCCTATAGGGTAGGTAGTATCAAGAAATAGCACAAAGAAACATGAACATCAAGAGGAGGAGAACATGGTCATAAATACAGCAGAGATTTTACAAATCAATGGCAGGTTCTGAGGACAAATTTTTGCCAATAAATTGGAAAGCTGTCAATGTCAATTACCAAAGTAACTTAAGAAGAAAAGAACTAAATAATGCAATACATATTTTTTGTTAAATGGAACTATCAGTTTAAAATTCCTCCCTCAAAAAAAAATTTGTAAGCTCAGGCAATTTTACAGGATCATTTTCTTAACCATCAAATCCTATCTTATATAAGGAGTTGTACATAATAGATTTAGGGAGTAGGTTAACAAATTAATTTTGGGAAACTAATATTGCTTTGAAAATAAGACCTGACACAGAATTCAAGAAAATCCCAAATTATAGACAATCTCATGTAGTAGCACAGGTGCAAAAATCCTAAATATAACTTTTGTAAATCAAATCCATCAGTGTTAATAAATACATTGTAACCAAGGAGGACTCATCACAAGAATTCGAGAATAATTCAACCTCAGAAGATACTGCAATGCAATTTACACGTTGACAAACGAACACTTTTCTGAGAAAAGGAATTTATAAACAGTAAAACTTAAACATTTCCATTAGTAATGAATAAAAAAATGTTGCCCATCATTACCCATGACTCATCATTATCCATCATTGTACTAGTTCTTAGCTAAGGCAAAGCTACCAGAAAAATAATAAATACATAAGAACTGCTAAAAAAAAGAAATGTTAATTATTTAGAGCATGTTTATCAATAAAGAAGCTATATGATAATCTCTAAACTATTAGAAATCATAATAAAATTGAACAAAATGACTAGGTATAAAATTAATATATAAAAATCAAAATGAATATATATGTTTTAATTGTATATTAAAATATACAATTTTAATATATTAAATATATAAAAATAAACCAATAATTAATTAAAATTTATAATAGAAAATTATACTAATTGTAATAGCAACAAAAATTACAATATACCAAGGAAAAAACTGTGTAAAAATATGTAAGTAAGCCCTGTTTTCATTTCCTGGGACTACCTTAATAAAATAGCATTAACTGCGTGGCTTAAAACAACACAAATGTATTGTCTCAAAGATCTGGAGACTAGAAGTCAGAAATCAAGATGGGAGCAGGGCTATAATCCCTCCAAATCCTCTAGGGGAGGATCCTTCCTTGCCTCTTTCAGTTTCTCATAGCCCCAGGTGTTCCTTGCTTATACATGCATTATGCCAACTTCTCCCTCCACCTTCCCCTGGTGTTCTTTCTCACTTTGTCTCCATGTCTTCACATGGCCTTCCTCTTATATAGACCCCTGTCATATTGGATTAGAGGCCCAGCCTACTCCAGCGCAACCTCATCTTAATTAATTACATCTGTAATGACCCTGGTTCCAAATAACGTCATATTCTGAGGTCCTAAGGGTTATGACTTATGCATACCTGTTGGGGGACATAATCCGACCCATAACAATCCCAAGGTTCGAGGCATTATTTAAGGACACAGAAGTCCCGTATCACTGTCCAAAAGTCAAAGACCATTAGGATAACAGACCTGTTGTCAAACTGGCAAACTGACCTGTTGTCAATTTTAAAGATTATTTGACTCAGCAAGGAAAACTGCATGCCATGGGGAAGAATGGGGGCATCTCAGTAAGAAGAAAATGTATATGACAGTTCTTTTAAATTGAAACTCCAGCTTGTATTAAATGACTTGGGGGAGGGCATAAAGAAGTGACAATTTTCTCTGGATGATGTCAGAAAGCAGAGGTGGGAGTCGGGGGGTCACTGGTGATCTTAACAATTTTTGTCTAAGGTATGAGGAACAGAGGCTAAGTCTGCAACTTGCAAAGAAGTAACACACACACATGTTAGCTGGGAAAGGGGATGTTTGGTTACTTTTGTGATTTGCATGTGTTGATCTATGTCATTAGGTAACGGCATTATTTTTGCCTCCCTCCATCACAGTCTCAATGACCTCAGCTGATGGGGTTCTGTAACATTATATTCACTGCCATCTAGCTGTCACCAACCAGTCACTAGCTGACATCTGTTAAGTGTGCTTTTCTTCATCACACCTAAATAATTGATGAAATTCACCATGATTATGAGTGGAAATATTATAAAGATGTTCAATCCACTCAAATAAATTAATGAAATCATTTTGTGGTGTAAGAAGATATGGCAAATTTGAAAGTAAATACTCCTGGCTAAAGGCATTAACATTTTTATAAAGATAAACAATTCATCTATGGAACAAACTCAGTCTCCAATCTATAACTAAGGTGACAACACATTCTAGTCCGCTTAAAACAGTTTTGGCTTCTACCCATTGTCCCACCTTCCAATCTGGTTAGTATTTTCCCTGGGCTTTTCTGGCTAGTATTTTTCCCAGATTTTTTTACCAAGCTATTAAATTAAATTTAAAATAAACCAGAATAGGTTTGGTAACCCTCTACTGTGTACTTCTAGCTTCTACCAGTTTCATCTAGTAGTGTGTGGTATGTATGTGCAGTGAGTTAGTTTTCATTCAACATGGGGTTAATTCACAAAATCAGTCATCAACAATCTGTCTTTTCCCAAGTCTTTTCATGAATAATGCAACTTACACCTTCTATTCAAGGACAACCTGCAGAGCATTCAATGATAAAACAGTGTGTGGTAACAAGTGCAGCTAGAGAAAGCAAACTTTTGGTCACCAGCTACAAGGAGGAATGTATTTCATGCTGCTGTTCTTGCCAGTCACATGGTGTACCACACAGTTGTGCTGTAGCCCTACCATAGTTTGGAAGATCCACAGAGCTCCCAGACCTCAGGTTGCTGGAGTCAGTAGGAAACAAGGGAAATTACAGGTTAGGTGTATTTGAAATTTGTGTGGGAAATGGAGGCTCAGCAGGCAGCCATAAAGTGTAGAGAATAATCTGAATGTGATTGCACAGTGGCTTTAAAATTGACACCTATGTTGGTAACACTTTTTTCCTCCTTCCCTATTTATGTATTCAATCATTTATTTGTACTTTTATGGATTCATGGATTTTTTTTCCTCTTTGAGTTGAAAATCCAATAATATTAGTAGAGTTCATTCTAGCTCTCATTTGCTTATTTGTAACATCTCAGAAAGTGAGAAACTTAGCTGTCATTATCCGCAATAGATTTCTTTGTTCAAGTCTAGTATACATGTAAAGTACTTAATAGTTTCAGAATTGTCAACTCATATCTTGTTTGGTAACATTTTAATTTTTCAACCAACACTTGTTAGCAGACATGAACTAAAAAAAATCTACATTCAATTAAAAATTAAGGGCTGAATTTGTTTCACAAAAGATTAATAATAACATTTTCTAGTAGCTATTTTAAGGAGATTGCACCCAAAGATGACTTAAAATGTGAAAATTTAGAAGATATCTAAGTATAATTCTAAGAAGCTCTACTTTCATTTAGATCAGTTACTAAATGGGTTTTTGCTTATTTTCAAGTTTTTTTATTATTATAATTTTTATTATTATACTTTAAGTTCTGGGGTACATGTGCAGAAGGTGCAGGTTTGTTACATAGATATACATGTGACATGGTGGTTTGCTGCACCCATCAACCTGTCATCTCCATTAGGTATTTCTCCTAATGCTATCCCTCCCCCGGCCTCCAAGCCCCCGACAGGCCCTGGTGTGTAACGTTCCCCTCCCTGTGTCCATGTGTTCTCATTCTGCAACTCCTACTTATGTTTGAGAATATGTGGTGTTTTGCTTTCTGTTACTATGTGAGTTTGCTGAGAATGATGGTTTCCAGCTTCATCCATGTGCCTGCAAAGACATGAACTCATCCCTTTTTATGGCTGCATAGTATTCCATGTTGTATATGGTGTATATGTGCCACATTTTCTTTATCCAGTCTATCACTGATGGGTATTTGGGTTGGCTCCAAGTCTTTGCTATTGTGAACAGTGCTGCAATAAACATACATGTGCATGTCTTTATAGTAGAATGATTTATAATCTTTGGGTATATACCCAGTAATGGGATTGTTGGGTCAAATGGTATTTCTAGTTCTAGATCCTTGAGGAATTGCCACACTGTCTTCCACAATGGTTGAACTAATGTACACTCCCACCAACAGTGTAAAAGCATTCCTATTTCTCCACATCCTCTTTAGCATCTGTTGTTTCCTGACTTTTTAATGATCGCCATTCTAACTGGTGTGAGATGGTATCTCATTGTGGTTTTGATTTGCATTTGTCTAATGATCAGTGATGATGAGATTTTTTCCCCATATGTTTGTTGGCCACATAAATGTCTTCTTTTGAGAATTGTCTGTTCATATCCTTCTCCCACTTTTTGATGAGGTTGCTTGATTTTTTTCTTGTAAATTTGTTTGAGTTTTTTGTAGATTCTGGATATTAGCCCTTTGTCAGATGGATAGATTGCAAAAAATTTCTCCCATTCTGTAGGTTACCTGTTCACTCTGATGACAGTCTCTTTTGCTGTGCAGAAGCTCTTTAGTTTAATTACATTCCATTTGTCAATTTTGGCTTTTGTTGCCATTGCTTTTGGTGTTTTAGTCATGAAGTCTTTGCCCATGTCTATGTCCTGAATGGTATTGTCTAGGTTTTCTAACTAGGGTTTCTGTGGTTTTAGGTCTTACATTTAAGTCTTTAATCCACCTTGAGTTAATTTCTGCATAAGGTGTAAGGAAAGGATCCAGTTTCAGTTTTCTGCATATGGCTAGCCAGTTTTCTCAACACCATTTATGAAATAGGGAATCCTTTCCCCATTGCATGTTTTTGTCAGGTTTGTAAAAAATCAGGGTTGTAGATGTGTGGTGTTATTTCTGAAGCCTCTGTTTTGTTCCATTTGTCTATATATCTGTTTTGGTAAGAGTACCATGCTGTTTTGGTTACTGTAGACTTGTAGTATAGTTTGAAGTCAGGTAGCATGATGCCTCCAGCTTTGTTCTTTTTGCTTAGGATTGTCTTGGCTATGCGGGCTCTTTTTTGGTACCATATGAAATTTAAAGTAGTTTTTTCCAGTTCTGTGAAGTAAGTCAATGGTAGCTTGATGGGGATAGCATTGAATCTATACATTATTTTGGGCATTTTCACAATATTGATTCTTGTCCATGAGCATGGAATGTTTTTCCATTTGTTTGTGTCCTCTTATTTCTTTGGGCAGTGGTTTGTAGTTCTCCTTGAAGAGGTCCTTCATATCCCTTGAAAATTGTATTCCTAGGTATTTTATCCTCTTTGTAGCAATTGTGAATGGGAGTTCACTCATGATTTGGCTCTGTTTGTCTGTTATTGGGGTATAAAAATGCTTGTGATGTTTGCACATTGATTTTCCATCCTGAGACTTTACTGAAGTTGCTCATCAGCTTAAGGAGACTTTGGGCTGAGACAATGGGGTTTTCTTAATACACAATCAAGTCATCTGCAAACAGAGAAAATTTAACTTCCTGTTGTCCTATTTGAATATCCTTTATTTCTTTCTCTTGCCTGATTGCCCAGGCCAGAACTTCCAATACTACAATACTACATTGAATAGGGATGGTGAGAGAGGGCATCCTTGTCTTGTGCCGGTTTTCAAAGGGAATGCTTCCAGTTTTTGCCCATCCAGTATGATATTAGCTGTGGGTTTGTCATAAATAACTATTATTATTTTGAGATATGTTCCATCAATACCCAGTTTATTGACAGTTTTTGGCATGAAGGGGTATTGAATTTCTTTGAAGGCCTTTTCTGCATCTATGAGATAATCATGTGGTTTTTGTCATACGTTCTGTTTAGGTGATGGATTACATTTATTGATTTGCATATGTTGAACCAGCCTTGCATCCCAGGGAAAAAGCCAACTTGATCGTGGTGGATAAGTTTTTGATGTGCTGCTGGATTCGGTTTGCCAGTATTTTATTGAGGATTTTCGCATCGATGTTCATCAGGGTTATTGGCTTGAGATTTTCTTTTTTTGTTGTGTCTCTGCCCGGTTTTGGCATCAGGAGGATGCTGACCTCATAAAATGAGTTAGGGAGGATTCCTTCTTTTTCTATTGTTTGGAATAGTTTCAGAAGGAACAGTACCAGCTCCCTTTTGTAACTCTGGTAGAATTCGGCTGTGAATCCATCTGGTCCTGGACTTTTTTTGGTTGGTAGGCTATTAATTGCTGCCTGAATTTCAGAACTTGTTATTGGTCTATTAAGAAATTTGACTTCCTCCTGGTTTAGTCTTGGGAGGGTGTATGTGTCCAGGAATTTATCCATTTCTTCTAGATTTTCTAGTTTATTTGTGTAGAGTTGTTTATAGTATTCTCTGATGGTAGTTTGTATTTCTGTGAGATCAGTGGTGATATCCCGTTTATCATTTTTTATTGCATCTATTTGATTCTTCTCTCTTTTCTTCTTTATTAGTCTGGCTAGCGGTCCATCTGTTCTGTTAATCAAAAAACCAGCTCCTGGATTCATTGATTTTTTGAAGGGTTTTTGGTGTCTCTACCTCCTTCAGTTCTGCATTGATCTTAGTTATTTCTTGTCTTCTGCTAGCCTTTGAAATTTTTTGCCTTGCTTCCATAGTTCTTTTAGTTGTGATGTTAAAGTGTCGATTTTAGATCTTTCCTGCTTTCTCTAATAGGCCTTTAGTGCTATAAATGTCCCTCTAAACACTGCTTTAGCTATGTCCCAGAGATTCTTATGTTGTGTCTTTGTTCTCATTCATTTCAAAAATTTATTTATTTCTGTCTTAATTTTGTAATTTAGACAGTAGATATTCAGGAGCAGGTTGATAAGTTTCCATGTAGTTGTGCAGTTTTGAGTGAGTTTCTTAATCCTCAGTTCTAATTTGATTGCACTGTGGTCTAGGACTGTTTGTTTAGATCTCCATGCTTGTGCATTTTCTGAGGAGTGTTTTACTTCCAATTATGTGGTCAATTTTAGAATAAGTGCGATGTGGTGCTGAAAAGAATGTATATTCTGTTGATTTGGGGTGGCAAATTCTGTAGATGTCTATTAGGTCCGCTTGGTCCAGAGCTGAGTTCAAGTCCTGAATATACTTGTTAATTTTCTGTCTCATTGATCTATTATTGACAATGGGGTGTCAAAGTCTCCCAATATTATTGTGTAAGAGTCTAAGTCTCTTTGTAGGTCTCTAACAACTTGCTTTCTGAATCTGGGTGCATATACATTTAGGATAGTTAGCTCTTCTTGTTGAATTGATCCCTTTACCATTATGCAATGCCCTTCTTTGTCTCTTTTGATCTTTGTTGGTTTAAAGTCTGTTTTATCAGAGACTAGGATTGCAACCCCTGCTTTTTTTTTTTTTTCTTTCCATTTGCTTGGTAAATCTTCCTCCATCTCTTTATTTTGAACCTATGTGTGTCTTTGCACATGAGATGGGTCTCCTGAATACAGCACCACTGATGGGTCTTGACTCATCATCCAATTTGCCAGTCTGTGTCTTTTAATTGGGGCATTTAGCCCTTTACATTTAAGGTTAATATTGTTATGTGTGAATTTTATCCTGTCATGTTGATGCTAACTGGTTATTTTGTCCCTTAGTTGATGCAGTTTCTTTATAGTGTCGATGGTCTTTACAATTTGGTATGTTTTTGCAGTGACTGGTCCCAGTTGTTCCTTTCCATGTTTAGTGCTTCCTTCAGGAGCTCTTGTAAGGCAGGCCTGGTGGTGACAAAATCTCTCAGCATTTGCTTGTCTGTAAAGGATTTTATTTCTCCTTTGCTTATGAAGCTTAGTTTGGCTGGATATGAGATTCTGGGTTGAAAATTCTTTTAACAATGTTGAATATTGGTCCCCACTCTCTTCTGGCTTGTAGAGTTTCTCCTGAGAGATCCACTTAGTTAGTCAGATGGGCTTCCCCTTTGTGGGTAACCTGACCTTTCTCTCTGGCTGCCCTTAACATTTTTTCCTTCATTTCAACCTTGGTGAATCTGACGATTATGTGTCTTGGGGTTACTCTTCTCAGGGAGCAGCTTTGTGGTGTTCTCTGTATTTCCTGAATCTGAATGTTGCCCTGTCTTGCTAGGTTGGCGAAGTTCTCCTGGATAACATCCTGAGGAGTGTTCCATTCTTGGTTCCATTCTCCCCGTCACTTTCAGGTACACCAATCAAATGTAGATTTGGTCTTTTCACATAGTCCCATATTTCTTGTAGGTTTGTTCATTTCTTTTCATTCTTTTTTCCCTAATCTTGCCTTCTTGCTTTATTTCATTACGTTGATCTTCAATCTCTGATATCCTTTCTTCCACTTGATCAATTTGGCTATTGATACTTGTATATGCTCCACGAAGTTCTTGTGCTGTTTTTCAGCTCCGTCAGGTCATTTATGCTCTTCTCTAAACTGGTTATTCTAGTTAGCAATTCGTCTAACCTTTTTTCAAGGTTCTTAGCTTCCTTGCATTGGGTTAGAACATGATCCTTTAGCTTGGAGAAGTTTTTTATTACCCACCTTCTGAAGCCTATTTCTGTCCATTCATCAAACTCATTCTCTGTCCAGTTTTGTTCCCTTGCTAGTGAGGAGTTGTGATCCTTTGTAGGAGAAGAGGCATTCTGATTTTTGGAATTTTTAGCTTTTTATGCTGATTTCTCCCCATCTTCGTGGATTTATCTACCTTTGGTCTTTGAAGTCAGTGACCTTCGGATGGGGCCTCTGAGTGGACGTCCTTTTTGTTGATGTTGATACTATTCCTTTCTGTTTGTTAGTTTTCCTTCTAACAGGCCCCTCTGCTGCAGGTCTGCTGGAGTTTGCTGGAGGTCCACTCCAGACCCTGTTTGCCTGGGTATCATCAGTGGAGGCTGAAGACCAGCAAAGATTGCTGCCTTTTCCTTCCTCTGGAAGCTTTGTCCCAGATGCCAGCCAGAGGTCTCCTGTATGAGGTGTCTTTCGGCCCCTACTGGGAGGTGTCTCCCAGTCAGAATACACCGGGGTCAGGGACCCACTTGAGGAGGCAGTCTGACCCATATTAGAACTCGAACACTGTGCTGGGAGATCTGCTGCTCTCTTCAGAGCTGTCTGACAGGGATGTTTAAGTCTGCTGAAGCTGCACCCACAGCCGCCCCTTCCCCCAGGTGCTCTGTCCCAGGGAGCTGGAGGTTTTATCTGTAAGTTCCTGACTGGGACTCCTGCCTTTCTCTCAGAGATGCCCTGCCCAGAGAGGAGGAATCTAGAGAGGTAGTCTGGCAGCAGCAGCCTTGCTGAGCTGTGGTGAGCTCCACCCAGTTTGAACTTCCTGGTGGCTTTGTTTACACTGTGAGGGTAAAACCACCTACTCAAGCCTCACAATGGCGGACACCCTTCCCTTCACCAAGCTCGAGTGTCCCAGGTCGACCTCAGACTGCTGTGCTGGCAGTAAGAATTTCAAGCCAGTGGATGTTAGCTTGCTGAGCTCCATGGGAGTGGGACCTGCCGAGCCAGACCACTTGGCTCCCTGGCTTCAGCCCCCTTTCCAGGGGAGTAAATGGTTCTCTTTCACTGGCATTCCAGGTGCCAGTGGGGTATGAAAAAAACTCTTGCAGCTAGCTAATTGTCTGCCCAAATGGCTGCCCAGTTTTGTGCTTGAAACCCAGTGCCCTGGTGGCATATGTACTGGAGGGAGTCTCCTGGTCTGCGAGTTGCGAAGACCATTGGAAAAACGCAGTGTCTGAGCCAGAGTCCACCATTCCTCATGGCACAGGCCCTCACGGCTTCCCTTGGCTAGGGTAGGGAAATCCCCTGACTCCTTGGGTTTCCCAGGTGAGGTGATGCCCACCCTGCTTCGGCTCACCCTCTGTGGGCTGCACCCACTGTCCATCCAGTCCCAATGAGATGAACCATGTACCTCAGCTGGAAATGCAGAAATCACCCACCTTCTGCATTGATCTCACTGGGAGCTGCAGACTGGAGCTGTTCCTATTCGGCCATCTTGCCAGCAAAACCTCAAGTTTGTTTTTAACATGTTCTCCAGGTTAAGCAATAGCTGTTATGTGTTAACTATTTTTGGCAGAAAGACACTACACAAATCAGATTACATTAACATAATCAGATCCTATTTAGAGAACAATAATAGATTAAGATACTTCTAATAATACTAATAATTTTCATATATTTCATGAAATTAAAGTTTTTAGGAATTTTATTCTCTTAAAAGTGACATATTTGACACGTTAATGAACACTTGTAAATTTAGTTTAAAAGTTTAACATAGAAAATCAAATTTTTGTTTTTGCAGTGGTAATAGTATAAATTTTGTGAAGAATGGTGTTTTGGTAAAAACAATGTCTTTATAAAATCAAGAAATCTTTAGGGCAGAAATATTCCTAAAATTGGTTGTAGTGCATACATAATTCCTAATTGCATACAAACAAGCTGTAATGTTCTATAACTTGAAATAGAAGCTGGAGTTGTTAAATTTCAAACCCACATACACATATTTGTAAACAGAGTTAGAATAACTACTACAAAGTTGAGGGCATGAAGATGAGATTGAAAATGCAGCAATACTTCAGCATGGCAATAAGCATTTTCTCTCTTTCTTGCCCATCATCAATCTGAAAAATATTTCAGAAATATCTTTCCTTTAAAGAACTATTGTGTAATTCAACTGAAGAGTCCTACAATGATATTGAACCTTTCATGAGTCCTTTAGATTTGGGGTTCATTTTCTTTCAGAATCAATATAAAACCCTTAATAAAAATATATGATAAACATCATTGCTAAAAGATTCCATCTTTTAAATATTTTATTAAATCACAATTCTTGGAAACAGAAAGACACTGACATTTATCCCCATAAAAGCAATAGAAGAAGTGAGCAAATGAAACAATAGTAGTTTTAACGGCATGTAAGCTGTAATTCTGAAATTCTGTAATTTCACATTGAAGTATGTTGACTGGTAGAAGCACTATGTTATTGGAGTTCTAATATTTAATTGGACAAATTATGTTCTGGATGCAATGCAACTGACAGTGCCAATGATTTTGCAGGACCTGAAGTTGGTAAAACATTCAACAAATTATACATATATATATATATATATATATATATATATATATATATATATATATATATATTTGATATACTTTTTTCATGCAAAAATATTTGTTGAAGAATATACCTTAACAGGACACCAAAAGTGAATATCTCTGAAAACATTTGGGGTGAAATATATATATATATATCAACACACACAAAATATTTACAGTTAAGAATATCTTCACTTAGCAGAATTTGCTCTGAACTTACTGCACATATAAAAATTTTTTTTTTGGCTTCTTGGCTAAAAATAATATAATCTAAAGAAAAGATTTAATTAAAGGTGTCACAATTTTAAAATTGTTAGCCATCAAATGCAACTTAGAATAATACTGTACATAATTTTATGAAAAAAATGAAAATGAGACCATATCTGGGAAACATACCAATGACATTGTATTAAAGGGCTACAGGTAAGTAATTCATGAAATTATGCGATTTAAAAATGGGAATTTATACTGTCAAGGCTCAGAATGTGATATCTCAAAATACAGCACATTGACAGAAGTCACAGAAGCAAGAAGTTCACTCTGACCTTCCCTCACCTTTCTGTGTGAAGCCTGGCCATAAAGGAATTCTCTGACCTACCTCTCCTGAAAGTCAGTCAAAAGGTTATCATTCTAGAGGGTTGCTGCCCTGTACCAGGGGAGGGGAGTGCTACAAAGCAAGGCCAAGGAGGATCTGAACAAACAGGCCTTGCTGAGTTCTCCCCAGGTTATTGTCATGATTAGATCATAGCCCCCTTTGTCTAATCATGCTTCCTCATGACTATCCACTTCTTTCCTCAGACTAACAATAAAAATGCAGTTTTCCCTGGGTCTTTGGATCTTCATTTCTGAAGGCTTCCATGTCACATAAAACTTTGATTACATGACTGTGTTATGCTTTCCTCCTGTTAATCTTTCTTTTGTTATAGGGGTGTATGCCATAAACCTTGTGATGAGTGGGGAAAACATATCCCCTTTTCTCCCTTATAATACCAAAAATAATTATTCTGTTTATATAATTGTTAATGTTTAAATATTCAATGAAAACATCTTTCTATATTACATTAAGGCCTATAGATGTATGTTATTTAAAAAAATTGTATTTTTGTAATGTTTTTGGATGTGACTGACTATTGTACAGGTTCACCAATATAATAAAACTAGTTTGTTGAAAAATAAATACATAATTTTAGTTCCTTTTGGTTCTCCTTTTACACTCACAATGATCTCAATTTAGATGATATATTTTTGATTAGTCTTTTTATGACCTGTTACTATCTATATATTTTCTAGAAATTGCTGTAGGATAAAAAAAACTAAAGCCTTTTGCTTCTTGATAATACCCTTGCTAGTCTACTCTGCTTTGTAAACTAGTCTAGTTTAAATGATCTTAGTTCAATAAGAATTTCTAGAAAGCTTGCACTAGTGTTAGGCATGTGGATAATCATTGTTCTCAGGAATTGTTCTTTTGTTTTTCTGGTGAGTTAAAAATTTTGACGTTTGTCTGCAACATGTTGCTTTTTTTCCTGTGTTCCTATGGGACCTAGTCATCTGTATGACTCACAGAAGAACTAAAGAGATAAACATGCATGTGCTAAAAAAAAAAAAAAAAAAAAAAAGTAATGCTTCTGAAGCAAAGTGAGACCAGCGCAAGTAAGAAGTGCAACATAGCTTTAATAACAAAAATAAATGGTGCAGACAAATTCACGCTGGCAGAAGGGAAATGAAAGCACTGAAGATGACTTAGTTTTCTGGGAAAACTTTGAAGGTGGCTCTAGGACTGGTTGCCTAGAAAGATAAGCTAAAGTTTCAGCAGACAAGGAGAAAATAAATGGGAGGGAAGGGTTGATGGTATGAACTAAGTCAGGAATATGGCTTTTTTGGGGTGGTAAGCAGTTTGGTCAATAAGGTGGAGATACGTTGTAAGCAGCATAGGATATAAGCATGAAGATTTGAACTTCAGCTAAGGGTCTAGACAGTTATAATTGAGAGATTATAGAACAGATTTGAGTAGGAGGGCCATACAATGCTAGATGAATTGAAGAATGGGGATATTTATATCTGAGACAATTCTGAGACATATCAAGTAGTCTAGACTTAGAAGGACCTGGACTAGCAGAATGAATGCTGGAATGAAAAAAAAAGGGACAAATCCAGAAATATTTTGAAAAAAGAGTTGAGAAGAATTGGTAAATTATTTTCTAAAAGAAGCATGAGGTTTTTTAAAAAATGTAATTCTTTGTGGCTGTTTAATGCAGAGATTCTGTGCTAGCTAGCCTGGGATCTAAAATTAAACAAGTATTTTCCCTACATAAAACCTGAAATAATATAATGTATTGATGTAATCATGTAGTTACAAGATGCATACTAGGAGGGAAGCTCACTTAAAAAAAGTCATAACAAACACACAAAATAAAATGTATAGATAGGGAGGCTTTTATAATTCTATAATATTAGTAGTCAATCCATATGACATGAAGATTACCAGGATGCCCCTGAAATGGGTTGCACAAGATGTGAGATGTCTAAAGCTCTCATCATTAGTCATACACGATGAGTTGACAGGCCTTGTTAAAATGCAAACAAGGTGATACATGAAGCCATGAGGATTCATTAGCATCTTGAACCAACTTAATTGATCAAATTATCTAACCTATTCTAAAGCACAAGGAAAAGGGAGATGCAAGCAAGAACACCAGAGAGATTTTTCTGTGTATGGGAAGGGAAATTATTGAAGAAGTCAGAAAGAGGCATTCATCACATGGGTTGTGTGTAGTTTCTTTGTGTTGTTGCCCAGTTTGGGCTTGCATTGTAGATCCTTCTTCCTTCTAGTTAACTAATACACACTCACTTTGTCTTCTGGGAAGGTATATAAAATAGGATAAAGAAGATTGAATTGGGAATCAGAAGTCAATGCCAATTCTAGCTCAGGCACTAAATTGCTGAATGACTTTACTTACCCTCTTCATCTCAGCTTTTACTTTTGTAAAATGAGGGCCTTAGACTAGATAAGTAATACCTACTCCAGCTACTCCATTCTATAAGATAGTTACTCACATTTTTATCCTCACAGTCTTTTTTTGTTATTGGTATTTTTCTTTTAGTACAGGAGAATTTTATTTTTAAAAAACACTTTTATCAAGAAAATCACCTATTTGAGATCAAAAAGCTGGTGATGTTTTAAAGATGCATGTTTTCAGGCTCTTTTACAGATTAGCCGTGTTTCTTGGTTTACAGTGAAAATCTATAGAACCTACACATGCATAAGACAACATCAGTTTTCATTATAATCATATTTCACACATTACAAAGTCCCGATATTTCTTCTGTTAGTCATATAATTACATGAGAGACGTTTCTTCCAGAATAACTACATTATCATTGAAATTGTACTAAATTTACTACTAAATTTACAAATATTTTAGTCTTTAATATACATGTTGTCAAAATTCAGAGAGATTAAATTGATAAATATCTTCCTATTGCATCTTTTCATTTTTGTGAATTATAAGCAACTGTCAAGCCTCTGGAGTTTTATAAAATTATCATCCTGCTGGAGAATGTCGTGAACCCGGGAGACGGAGCTTGCAGTGAGCCAAGATCGCACCACTGCACTCCAGCCTGGATGACAGAGCAAGACTCCGTCTCAAAAATAAATAAATAAATAAATAATCATGCTGCTATCAAATATAAAGTTACATTTCTGATACCTCTGCCTTTTCTTGTATAGAGAATCACTTATAGGAATACTATTTAGGATATCAAATATTCTTGCCAGTAAGATGAAGCTGCAGTAATATGCAGAGGAAAAGTGGAACTAGGATTGCTTGGAACAATGTGACATACCAGGATATCTGATATCTGGCATATGCTTATGGAGTACCTCAAAAGTCTTCATTTTGAAAACTGCACCTTAACTTTTAAATATATTTTTATTAGTAGAGCCTTTATTGACTAGCATTATTTAATAATAAGGGAGGAAAAGATGAAGTGAGGAAAGGAAGGAAAGGAGGGAGGGAGGGAGGGAGGGAGGGAGGAAGGAAGGAAGGAAGGAAGGAAGGAAGGAAGGAAGGAAAGATAACTCATGAGTCAGGATTCTCAGAGAAGACAGGGTAACACTAGCTGTATTAATCAGAAAGATATTTACTAAGACACATAGACAACTCAAAATTGTTGCGATTGCAGAAGAAACAGATTGCAAGAGGTGTTCCATGAATACTCCTTGTATTACCCCATAACTCACTTGCCAAAATCAGGAAACTGAATCAGAAAGCCACCCCACAGCTGCTGACTTCAGAACCTGGCCCCATACCAGGCGGTATACCAGTAGGATGAATGCTCTGTGCTTGCCCTTTATCCCTACATAACCAAGCTCTAAAGCAAAGTTTTCTGTGGGGGTGAGGAAGGCTGAATAGTGTTTGGTGTAATATTATCATTATTACATTGAAAATACGTGTTCTACAATGTGGAAAATTAGCAAAATATGCAGACTTCTCCAAAAAAATCAGGAGACACGCAAATTTAAAAATATCTAATATGAAATCTGTTTAACAATCCCAAATCTTGGAAGTTTAAGGGTTTATTCCAGAAAGATCTTGCAATCTTGAAGACAGCAGATTTAAACTAGCACATTTGTTCAAAACTGTTAGCAAATCTATTTAGAATTTTGTTTCTTTAAGGTTTCTCTTTTTCCTTCCCCTGACTTGTTTCCAAGTCATAAAAGAGAGGGAAGAGAGAGAATTTTTAATTGTTCAACCTATTAGAATAAAGTTAAGAATTACTTCTGAGGTGTAAGACAGTCATACCTTATCACAGTTTTATTGGCCTTTCTTTTCTTGATTATTTACATAGAAAAATCTGGAGACAATATCATTTTGTGTCCCTCTCCACTGTTTTGGAAGTATTTGTTTCTGATAGCCTATTTCCTAAACCGAAAATTGTTGTTGTTGTTGTTATTTTCATTAAGAAAAATTATTCTTATCAGCATATTACTGAAAATTATTTACTTTACATAATTTGTACTTGAGTAACAAAAAACAAAAATAAACAAAAATAAAACCCAGAGTTCTTCATTCCAGAAGGAAAAGTATCTATCAATACTTTTTTAAAAAATATATGTTTTCTTTACATTGATGCTAGCTGTTTTCAGGATTCCTGATGAATTGTGCAAGGGAATTATTATCAAAATCTTGAAGAAACTAGGAAGAAACTAGAAGAAACTAGGAAAGGCTGGATTGTTTGGATATTTTTATAATAAAAATTTTAAACCAGATTTATGACAATCTAAGTGAAGCTATTTGAAATATTTCTTGTTTCCTAAAATAATGAGGAATTAAACTCATTTTCTTTGGCAGAAATTGGCACACTCTCTTCTTTGATACAAAGCTAGACCACATTTCCTAGACTTCTATAATTTAGAGGGAACCAGCTAACAAGTTCTCCCCTCTAGAATGTGAGTAGAAGTGATAAGTTCCAAGTTCAGATTGAAGTGGTTAAGAAAGTCAGCTTTCTCCACAATCTCTCTTTTTTGTCTATTGCCTGAGTGCAAAGGCTGCAGTGCTGGCCCTGAAGAATGGAACGGAGGCCAGACGCGGTGGCTCACGCCTGTATCCCAGCACTTTGGGAAGCCAAGGGAGGCGGATCACCTGAGGTCGCGAGTTCGAGACCAGCCTGACCAACATGGAGAAACCCCATCTCTATTAAAAATACAAAATTAACCGGGTGTGGTGGTGCATGCCTGTAATCCCAGCTACTCGGGAGGCTGAGGCAGGAGAATCGCTTGAACATGGGAGGTGGAGGTTGCAGTGAGCCGAGATCACACCATTGAACTCCAGCCTGGGCAATAAGAGTGAAACTCCGTTTGAAAACAAAAAAATGGAACAGAGTCCCTGCCTATTCACACTGGAATGTAAAGTGAGCAATGGGATTATTAGGATTGCCGTTTAACACTTTTAACCTACCCTGACTGATGTACATCTGTGAACATACTGTGCTTTGGGAGAAAGTAGTCAATATAAAAATGTGATCTACATATTCAAGCTGCTTCATATTGGTGCAAAAGTATACTGCCAACTCAAAAGCATTTTACAAATATATTATTATTAATTAAACAATAAAAATATTAATAGTTACACAGAATTCCGTGTTTCAATTGTGTTTGTGCTTGGGATGGAAGTTGGGGAAAGGAATGAATAGGAAAGAAAAATCCTCTTAAATTTGAATATTGTGAGAAGTCCATGTTATAGGACCAGAGAAGTTGGGCTTTCAACTATTCTAATAGTTGCACTGATTAAAAAAATTATAGATACATAAGAAGATGTAATACACAAGTCATAAACAATTTAAGAGATGTAACAAACCTGAATCTTGACCTTGCATTGTTTCTGTTTTTTTCCTTAATGCACTTTTATTTAATTTGGCTTAGCTATTTTAAAGATCATATTACTGCAGTCAGAAGCAGTGTTTTAGAATTCAGCTGGGTCACAGGAACTTTCTCACCACTCCATTCTAATTTGCAGTTTTGCTATAATAAAAGCCCTAAATATATTGCTACTGTCTAGATGTTTTATCTGAAACAAGTGTCCTTTGTAGTCTCAGAGGACTCTTCTATTTTATTTCCAGTAAATCAAAGTCTGTGAAGAGCTTCAGTTTTTATTAAGACATACCCTTCACAGTCCAGTGATTGCCAACTGTGGCAAGCCATTGACAGTTCATTTACATATAAGTGATGACTTCCATCAGGTAGTTGGCTCAAAAACACAATGGACATTTAGAGCATATCCAATATTTCTTGTTCTTTGATGAGCACCAAGTGCCAATTTTTATATAGAAACTGACTACTGAAAAGTGAAGGCTTCTTTTCCATGACCTTACACTGTCTTCTACAGCTCTAGAGTGAAATATTGTCACTGAACTTAATGTAGGATCACACCTCTAAAAGACATTCAGTAGCCTTACTTCAACTTGCTAAAAATCAAGGAGTCAAATGTAGAAAACCTGAAACAAGAACAATCACATTTTATTAAATGAAAAGTGAACTTCCACATCCTGTCCCAAACTGTCATAATCAGAACAACTTTTATATTTGTATAAAGTAATTGTGATATTATTAATTTTCTCTTATAAATATATTTACTACTTGGAATAGTGATTACACAACACTCATTAAGAAATCTTATATTTAAGTTTGTAAGTGCCTTTCATTTTAACTCCATGATTTTGCTCCTAATGTTTTTGGAATAGCAGTGGTTGAAATGTAGGCAAATTTTTATCCTAATTATGTTTTAAAAAAGGAGCAGGCTGATGACTTGTAATCATGCTTATATTCAACTTGCATAATTTTTCCCTTTTTTAAAAAGTTGCGCATTTTCTATTTTTTCAGTATGTAAACAAAAAATACTTTTACCTTTAAAATAAAATTCAATTATCAGTAAGGAGAATATGCATAATTAAATTTCACAGGTAAGCCAAATTCCACATTTTAGCTTTAGCTAGTAATCACTTCCTTGCCCTGCTCAAAGGTTTTTTTGTTACAATTTTCTGGTTAGCGCTTCATCATGATTTTTAGTCCACCTTGAGTTTGGTTTTGGTGAGGCCTGACTTAACATGATTCTTGTAATTGGCTTTTCTAAAGATTTAATAACTTCCATAGATATTCTTATAGTAAACTCAATTGCATAAAAATAACCTGAGAGTTTTTTGTTTGTTTTAAAATCAAAGAGACTATTACAGAAGTAATGGATGCAGAATAAAAGCTGTGAAACAATGGGACACTTGTCATGTAGTTCCCAGCTCTTTTCATATCTAGCCTCTATGCTATGTATAGACTCTATTCCTTCGATTATGGTTCCTCACTTGTTTCTCTAATTCCATTCAAAATAGAGGGATGGATAGATGGATGGATAAAATTAAATTAAAGATTCTTAAGAAAACTTTGCTTCAAATTCTTTCAGCATTGGGGCTGGGTGCGGTGGCTCACATCTGTAATCCCAGCACTTTGGGAGGCTGAGGAAGGCGGATCATTTGAGGTCAGGAGTTCGAAACCAGCCTGGCCAACATGGTGAGACCCTGTCTCTACTAAAAATACAAAAATTAGCTGGGTGTGGTGGCATGCACCTGTAGTCCTGACTACTTGGGAGACTGAGGCAGGAGAATTGCTTGAACCCTGGAGGCGGAGGCTGCAGTGAGCTGAGATTGCACCACTGCACTCTAGCCTGGGTGACAGAGCCAGACTGCATCTCAAAAAAAAAAAAAAAAATTATTTCAGTGCTAAGGCAAATCAACTCAGGAATACTCAGGAATACTGTATATTGCTTCTCACCTTTTTACTTCAGAATGAGCAATGAGTAGGGAAAAATAATACCATGACTCTACCAAAAATTAACACAGTTTAAAACAACCATTTCCAAAAACTTTACATAATAAAGGACATTATGGAAAACAAAGAAATTTTTTGACATATATGATTTCAATGAAACATCACACTGTTACCTTTTTAAAGAACAAAAAAGGTGAATCCAACAGTATTGTATACCAGATTCATGAGTTTTAGAAATAAGAATTTTAAAGTTTCTTTATGGTTGTTATTGGTAATGGAACAACATAAATTATAGTCTAATGAAAGGAGTACTTGACACTCTGCAGGTTTACTTCATTATGATAAAAGAGATGTTTTTTATGAAGGAGATCAAATGAATGGTGTTCATCCAAAAATACTAGAAATTATAGATAAACTTGTCAAAGTTCTTTCTATATTCAAAGATTTTTATCCTTTCTTCCTACTCATACAGAATTGATCCACCTCCAGTGTTAACTTGTCTCTTTGGGTAGAGAAGTTTAACTATTACAGGTAATAATATGTTGGAAACATCATTCAACTTTACATGACTTATAATGTTGTCTCATTTTCCTTTCTCTTATGGATCGGGCCACCAACTTTCCAACAACCCGGATGTTAGCTCGTTTGAGTGCTGGATGTCCATTTACTATAATACAAAACATACAGTCACATTAATATATTTTCAATTAATATGATAGTAATGTACCATGGTTTTGAAATTCTATAAGTTACAGGAAACTAATTATGGTTGTGTTAGAACATGCAAAAGACTGGACTTGGGCTCATTTCCTTCGGGTGTAGTGTGTTACCTTATATATCATGCCAAGAGACTCAAAGTTACTGTTAGACCAAAGCATTGAGGGAAGGGATGGGTGAAACTGGGTTCCACTAATATACAGAATATAGTCAGCCCTCTGTATCTGTGGGTTCCCTGGTAATGGATTCAAGGAACTGCAGATAAAAACTATTCAGAAAAAGAAATTTCACAAAGTTCTGAAAGGTAAAACTTGAATTTGCTACACAAGTACTATGTTGAATCCACATGAATGAAGAGGTGTGTAGCTACTGTATTAGGTATTACGTGTAAACTAGAGATGATTTAAAGTATATGGGAAGATGGGTATACATTATATGCAAATACTACCCCATTTTATATAAAGGACTTAAGCATCTGTGGATTCTCATATTCGAGGGAGATTCTGGAACCAATTTCCTACCAGCACTGAGGGAAAATCGTATTTGAAATAAATTAGATGCAACACGTTTGCTTTTAAGACAAACAGTATTGACTTTTTTTACATTAAAGTGTAATCAGTTCTGATAATGATATTTAAATTAACATAAACCACTATTCATATAGATTGGTTGTATAGATCCATCTTTATGTATAAAATGACTTTGCAATTAATAAATAAAAGGTATAGATTTACTGTGGCCACCATTATACAAAGAAATAATTTATAGATAGGGTAGTATATCTTTGCTGTTTAGGTCCTATAGTTGTTATTAAACAAAAACATAACCAGCTGCCAAAATCCAGTTAAAATTATAAGAAGAATAATCAACATGGCTAAAAGGAAATTAATGACTTGAGGTGTTATAAGAAACAAGGCATTGTTTCTGGGTTAATGTATCTCCATATTGTTATTTGACAAAGAGCAAGGCCTTATAACAACAAGATTAAATTGGGCCACTTTAAAAAAGGACCTGAATAGGCATTTTTCCAAAAAAGATTTAAAAATGGACAACAGGTATATGAAAATGCACTCAACATCATTAATCATCAGGGAATGCAAATCAAAACCACAATGAGATATCACCTCGGACCCCTTAGGATGGCTATTATCAAAAAGTCTAGATAACAAATGTTAGCAAGAGTGCGGATAAAAGGAAACACTTATACACTATTGGTGGGAATTTAGATTGGTGTAACCATTCTAGAAAACAGTATGGAGTTTCCTAAAGTAATTAAAAATAGAACTACCCTAAGATCCAGCAATCCCTCTTCTGGGCATATACCCAAAGGAAATGAAATCACCACCTTGTAAAGATTATCTACACGTGCACATTCACTGCAGCATTATTCACAGTAGCCAAGATATGGAAACAACCTTAATATATTTCATTGGACAAATAGATTAAAGAACTGTAGCATATATATACAATGGAATATTATTCAGCCTTAAGAAGAAGGAAATCCTGCCATTTGCCACAACATGAGTGAACTTGAAAGACATTAAGTGAAATAAGCCAGATACAGAAAGAAAAAATATTGCATGATTTCACTTACATGTGGAATCTGAAAAAAAGAGTCAAATATACAGACATAGAGAATCAAATTGGTTACTAGAGGTGGAGGATGGAGAGGAAATGGGGGAAAGTAGCTCAGGGATCACAAAGTAGCAGATGTTTAAGATGAACAGGTCTAGAGACCTAATGCTCAACCTGAGGACCACAGGCAATACAATTGTACCGTATTTGGGATTCCCACTAAAGATTTCAGTTGCTCTTGTCGCAAAAACAAAATAAACGGGAATGATGTGAGATGATGGCTATGTTGCTTCACTATAGTAACTATTTTACTATTTATATGTATCCCATTACATCATGTTGCTTACTTTAAACATACAAAATAAAACTTATTTTTTAAAACTGACAAATTGGCCAGGCGCGGTGGCTCACGCCTGTAATCCCAGCACTTTGGGAGGCCGAGGCGGGTGGATCACGAGGTCAGGAGATCGAGACCATCCCGGCTAAAACGGTGAAACCCCGTCTCTACTAAAAATACAAAAAATTAGCCGGGCGTAGTGGCGGGCGCCTGTAGTCCCAGCTACTTGGGAGGCTGAGGCAGGAGAATGGCGTGAACCCGGGAGGCGGAGCTTGCAGTGAGCCGAGATCCCGCCACTGCACTCCAGCCTGGGCGACAGAGCGAGACTCCGTCTCAAAAAAAAAAAAAAAAAAAAAAAAAACTGACAAATTAGGCCACAGTAATTGCAAAACAATTATTAGTTTTCATTCCTAGTGAGATCACAGGGAAAGGCAACCACAGATTAGTGTCCTAATCCTAATTTACGACAGTTATACTAGAAAAGCATGAGATATGCATTCTAGTTCTTGAAATGAGATCTCAGGATTAAGTGCTTTCCTATTATGAATTTCTTTGATAATACCAAGCATATATTTCATCAAGCAAGAGATACTTATAATATAACATTACTCAAAAGAGTTAAAATAGAAAGAAAAGTGAAAATAAGGGCCCAAGTTCATGTTCTTATACATTTCTGAGTGAATCCAGGTTTGGTATTCAATCTTAGTTTCCCTACTTTTGAAATTGGGGATAATATATATCTTGTCCAATTATTGAAAGGACCCAAAACTATATGTCAAAAGATATATTTGTAATAATATTTCATGAATATTAACTCTTCAGTTGTAATGAATGTACCACACTAATGCAACGTGTTAATAATAGGAGAATCTATTAATAGGGCTGGGGTGCAGGTGTGAGAGTACATGGGAACACTCTACTTTCCATTCCATACTTCTGTAAACCAATATTTCTGTAAAAGTAGAATAATGATAATACTGAAAGCTTATTAATTTAAAAACAGACATGACTCTGATACTTCATAAGTATTTAAAAAATAGTTGCTGGATTATTATCTACCCTATGATATCATAAAATAAGCTTTTTAAAGAAATTTCACTGGCAATTATAATATTATTATTTCATAAACATTTAAAGAATAATTTCACTTAGGAAGAATACAAATATAAGTACACATAATATATCTTTAATCTTTCAAAGTAAATATTCTTTTTTTAATTTTTTATTATTGTACTTTAAGTTTTAGGGTACATGTACAGAACGTGCAGGTTTGTTACATATGTATACATGTGCCATGTTGGTGTACTGCACCCATTAACTCATCATTTAGCATTAGGTATATCTCCTAATGCTATCCCTTCCCCCTCCCCCCACCCCACAACAGGCCCCAGCGTGTGATGTTCCCCTTCCTGTGTCTATGTGTTCTCATTGTTCAATTCCCACCTATGACTGAGAACATGCGGTGTTTGGTTTTTTGTCCTTGCGATAGTTTGCTGAGAATGATGGTTTCCAGCTTCATCCATGTCCCTACAAAGGACGTGAACTCATCATTTTTTATAGCTGCATAGTATTCCATGGTGTATTTGTGCCATATTTTCTTAATCTAGTCTATCATTGTTGCACATTTGGGTTGATTCCAAGTCTTTGCTATTGTGAATAGTGTCGCAATAAACATATGTGTGCATGTGTCTTTATAGCAGCATGATTTATAATCCTTTGGGTATATACCCAGTAATGGGATGGCTGGGTCAAATGGTATTTCTAGTTCTAGATCCCTGAGGAATTGCCACACTGACTTCCACAATGGTTGAACTAGTTTACAGTCCCACCAACAGTGTAAAAGTGTTCTTATTTCTCCACATCCTCTCCAGCACCTGTTGTTTCCTGACTTTTTAATGATCGCCATTCTAACTGGTGTGAGATGGTATCTCACTGTGGTTTTGATTTGCATTTCTCTGATGGCCAGTGATGATGAACATTTTTTCATGTGTTTTTTGGCTGCATAAATGTCTTCTTTTGAGAAATCTCTGTTCATATCCTTTGCCCACTTTTTGATGGGGCTGTTTGTTTTTTTCTTGTAAATTTGTTTGAGTTCATCGTAGATTCTGGATATTAGCCGTTTGTCAGATGAGTAAGTTGCAAAAATTTTCTCCCATTCTGTAGGTTGCCTGTTCACTCTGATGGTGGTTTCTTTTGCTGTACAGAAGCTCTTTAGTTTAATTAGATCCCATTTGTCAATTTTGGCTTTTGTTGCCTTTGCTTTTGGTGTTTTAGACATGAAGTCCCTGCCCATGCCTATGTCCTGAATGGTATTGCCTAGGTTTTCTTCTAGGGTTTTTATGGTTTTAGGTCTAACATTTAAGTCTTTAATCCATCTTGAATTAATTTTTGTATAAGGTGTAAGGAAGGGATCCAGTTTCAGCTTTCTACATATGGCTAGCCAGTTTTCCCAGCACCATTTATTAAATAGGGAATCCTTTCCCCATTGCTTGTTTTTCTCAGGTTTGTCAAAGATCAGATAGTTGTAGATATGCGGCATTATTTCTGAGGGCTCTGTTCTGTTTCATTGGTCTATATCTCTGTTTTGGTAAGAGTACCATGCTGTTTTGGTTACTGTAGCCTTGTAGTATAGTTTGAAGTCAGGTAGCATGATGCCTCCAGCTTTGTTCTTTTGGCTTAGGATTGACTTGGTAATGCGGGCTCTTTTTTGGTTCCATATGAACTTTAAAGTAGTTTTTTCCAATTCTGTGAAGAAAGTCATTGGTAGCTTGATGGGGATGGCATTGAATCTATAAATTACCTTAAGCAGTATGGCCATTTTCATCATATTGATTCTTCCTACCCATGAGCATGGAATGTTCTTCCATTTCTTTGTATCCTCTTTTATTTCATTGAGCCATGGTTTATAGTTCTCCTTGAAGAGGTCCTTCACATCCCTTGTAAGCTGGATTCCTAGGTATTTTATTCTCTTTGAAGCAATTGTGAATGGGAGTTCACTCATGATTTGGCTCTCTGTTTGTCTGTTATTGGTGTAAAAGAATGCTTGTGATTTTTGCACATTGATTTTGTATCCTGAGACTTTGCTGAAGTTGCTTATCAGCTTAAGGAGATTTTGGGCTGAGACAATGGGGTTTTCTAGATATACAATCATGTCATCTGCAAACAGGGACAATTTGAGTTCCTCTTTTCCTAATTTAATGCTCTTTATTTCCTTCTCCTGCCTGACTGCTCTGGCCAGAACTTCCAACACTATGTTGAATATGAGTGGTGAGAGAGGGCATCCCTGTCTTGTGCCAGTTTTCAAAGGAATGCTTCCAGTTTTTGTCCATTCAGTATGATATTGGCTGTGGGTTTGTCATTGATAGCTCTTATTATTTTGAGATACGTCCCATCAATACCTAATTTATTGAGAGTTTTTAGCATGAAGAGTTGTTAAATTTTGTCAAAGGCCTTTTCTGCGTCTATTGAGATCATCATGCGGTTTTTGTCTTTGGTTCTGTTTATATGATGGATTACGTTTATTGATTTTCATGTGTTGAACCAGCCTTGCATCTCAGGGATGAAGCCCACTTGGTTATGGTGGATAAGCTTTTTGATGCGTTGCTGGATACGTTTTGCCAGTATTTTATCGAGGATTTTTGCACCAATGTTTATCAAGGATATTGGTCTTGAATTCTCTTTTATTGTTGTGTCTCTGTCAGGCTTTGGTATCAGGATGATGTTGGCCTCATCAAATGAGTTAGGGAGGATTCCCTCTTTTTCTGTTGATTGGAATAGTTTCAGAAGGAATGGTACCAGCTCGTCCTTGTACCTCTGGTAGAATTCGGCTGTGAATCCATCTGGTCCTGGAATTTTTTTGGTTGGTAAGCTATTAATTATTGCCTCAATTTCAGAGCCTGTTATTGGTCTATTCAGAAATTCAACTTCTTCCTGGTTTAGTTTTGGGAGAGTGTATGTGTCGAGGAATTTATCCATTTCTTCTAGATTTTCTAGTTTATTTGCGTAGAGATGTTTATAGTATTCTCTGATGGTAGTTTGTATTTCTGTGGGATCGGTGGTGATATCCCCTTTATCATTTTTTATTGCATCTATTTGATTCTTCTCTGTTTTCTTCTTCATTAGTCTTGCTAGCGGTCTATCAATTTTGTTGATCTTTTCAAAAAACCAGCTCCTGGATTCATTGATTTTTCAAAGGGTTTTTTGTGTCTCTAGTTCCTTCAGTTCTGCTCTGATCTTAGTTATTTCTTGCCCTCTGCTAGCTTTTGAATGTGTTTGCTCTTGCTTCTCTAGTTCTTTTAATTGTGATGTTAGGGTGTCGATTTTAGATCTTTCCTGCTTTCTCTTGTGGGCATTTAGCGCTATAAATTTCCCTCTGCACACTGCTTTGAATGTGTCCCATAGATTCTGGTATGTTGTGTCTTTGTTCTTGTTGGTTTCAAAGAACATCTTTATTTCTTCCTTCATTTCGTTATGTACACAGTAGTCATTCAGGAGCAGGTTGTTCAGTTTCCATGTAGTTGAGTGGTTTTGAGTGAGTTTCTTAATCCTCATTTTTGTCATATGGCAGAATAGACTCAGAGAACAGTCCTTTTGATAAAAACAAGTCAAATCCTGGATAATATATTAAATATATTTTAACTTCATTACTAAGCTGGCAAAGAGGGAAGAAAAATGCAAAAGCCAAAAACAAGTGAAATCAGTAAGCTTAGTAAATATTTGAAATGCCAAGCCAGTTTTTTTGGTTGTAGGCTGGGGACAGAGAATAAAGCATAGGATCCACCCAAAAGAGGGAGTGTATCATGACAGCACAGTGGACAGTATATCATGATATACTCTCATGAGTATATCATGAGACCACAGTGGAGAGCTGTGCTATCAGAGTGAGTGGAAATGAGAAAGAGAGAGAGACACGGGTTGAGGGGTAGGGAGGGTGCAGGAAAGGAGGGAGAGAGGGAAAAGTAAAAAGAAAGAAAAAATGAAAAAACCTAAAGAAGGGGACATCAAGGAAATTTCCCTGTTTCCATAAGCTGGGTAGAGAGATCATAAATAACCCCAAAGCTGGTCCTTGGTTTGGTGTTCCAGTTCATGTCACTTGTGTGATCCAAAAATATCTCAAATAACTTTAATGCTCGTTGGTCCCCAAGAACAAATAAAAAACCTCTCTAGAGGAAAGTAACTTCAACAAAGGCCTTTAAAATATGTCATAAAAGCATATTTTATTAACCCATAGTGTGTTACAATGTATTTTTCAATGCAAAAGCAGTACCTATAATACCGGTATTTTAAAGTTATACAGATAGAAATACATGTAAAATATTAAATACCAAAATATTAATGATGAGTTTGGTTATAATTTAGCCTTATATTTTTTGCTTATCTACATTTTCAATGGAAAATATTATTTATGTAAAAATAGCAATATTAGAGATTTAAGCTTCTAGATTGGAATGCATGGTAGAAAGTAATTTTTATTGTAGATAATTAGGAAATAATTAGAAACAACATTTTTGTTTCTATTTCAACAGTTTAAAGAAGTGGCTTTAAATTGTGGAAATGTTCAAATAATAGATAATATGCTGAATACACGATTTACAGGCTGGATTTTCAGAAATGGGATATTTCTTTTTCTCAAAGGTTTGAAGTATTATTGTGTCCTATATTTTCTTTTAAATTATCTACAAATTTTTATATTCACAAGTCCATGTTATTATTCTTCATGCAAATTCCACAACTTATTCAAGGTTATATATCATTCAACACTATTGGCTACTTCCTGTGAACACTTTAAAATTAATCTTTGTAGAGCAACTTGGAAAGAAAACAAACACAGATAGTTTTGCAAAATAAAATAAGCATTTAGGTCATTGAGTATCTACTGAGTCCTGTTTGTTTAGATTCATGCTAAGTGCTATGGGGTGATATAAAGGGCACTAGCTGAGAGCTTTCTGGGTCTCCATTTCCTAATCAAGAAATAAACAAGAGAGAAAAACACTACAATTATTATATTACTCATAGTCATCTAGTTAAAAAAAAAATAAAGTGAAAGCACTACCTAACACAGTATCAGGATCTGCACATCAGATGATTATCATAATCAACATAAAGCAAAATACAGTTCTAGATGGCAATTAATGTATATAAGTATAGTCAGCCTTCTGTACCTCAATTCAACTAACTGTGGATCTAATATATTTGGAAAAATGCAATAAAAATAACACTATAACAATAAAAAGCAAAAATTAAAAAATGCAGTGCAATACATATTTATATGGTATTTACATTGTATTAGGTATTGTAAGTAATCTAGAGAACAATTTAAAGTATCCAAGAGGACAGGTGTATGTCATATGCAAATACTACATCATTTTTTATAAGAAACATGAGCATCTGTGGGTTTTGGCATGCTCCGGAGGTCCTGGAGTCAATTCTCTGTGTATACCAAGGCACTTATAATATGGTTTGGCTGTGTCCCCACCAAAATCTCAACTTGAATTGTAGTTCCCAGAATTCCCAAGTGTTGTGGGAGGGACCCAGGGGGAGGTAACTGAATCATGGGGGCTGATCTTTCCTGTGCTATTCTCATGATATTGAATAAGTATCATGAGATCTGATAGGTTTATCAGGGGTTTCTGTTTTGCTTCTTCCTCATTTTCTCTTGCTGCCACCATGTAAGAAGTGCCATTCACCTCATGCCATGATTCTGAGGCCTGTAAATCCAATTAAACCTCTTTTTCTTCCTAGTCTTGGATATGTCTTTATTAGCAGGGTGAAAACAGACTAACACAATAAATTGGTACCAGCAGAGTGGGGCATTGTTGAAAAGATACCCGAAAATGTGGAAGCAACTTTGGAACTGTGTAACACGCAGAAGTTGGAACAGTTTGGAGGGCTCAGAAGAAGACAGGAAAATGTGGGAAAGTTTGGAACTTCCTAGAAACTTGTTGAATGGCTTTGCCCAAAATGCTGATAGTGATATGGACAATAAGATCCAGGCTGAGGTGGTCTCAGATGGAGATGAGGAAGCTGTTGGGAACTGGAGTAAAGGTGACTCTTGTTACATTTTAGCAAAGAGACTGGCGGCATTTTGCCCCTGCCCTAGAGATCTGCAGAACTTTGAATTTGAGAAAGATGATTTAGGGTATCCGGTGGAAGAAATTTCTAAGCTGCAAAGCATTCAAGAAGTGACTTGGGTACTGTTAGAGGTATTCAGTTTTATAAGGGAAGCAGAGCATAAAAATTTGGAAAATTTGCAGCCTGAGTATGCAATAGAAAAGAAAACCCCATTTTCTGGGGAGAAATTCAAGCTGGCTGCAGAAATTTGCATGAGTAGCAAGGAACCTAATGTTAACCCCCAAGACCATTGGGAAAATATCTCCAGGCCATGTCAAAGACCTTCATGGCAGCCCCTCCCATCACAGGCCTGGAGGCCCAGGAGGAAAAAGTGGTTTTGTGGGCAGGGCCCAGGGTCCCTGTGCTGTGTGCAGCCTAGGAACTTAATGTCCCAGCCATTCCAGCTGTGGCTGAAAGGGGCCAACGTACAGCTCAGGCTGTGGCTTCAGAGGTTGCAAGCCCCAAGCTGTGGCAACTTCCACATGGTGTTGAGCCTGTGGGTGCACATAAGTCAAGAATTGAGGTGTGGGTACCTCCTCCTAGATTTCAGAAGATGTATGGAAATGCCTAGAAGCCCAGACAAAAGTTTGCTGCAGGGGTGGGGCCCTCACGGAGAACCTCTGCAAGGACAGTGCAGAAGGGAAATGTGGGGTTAGAGCCCCCACACAGAGTCCCTACTGGGGCACAGGAGAGCTGTGAGAAGAGGGCCACCTTACTCCAAATCCCAGAATGCTAAATCCATCAACAGCTTGCACCGTGTGCCTGGAAAAGCTGCAGACACTCAATACCAGCCTGTGAAAGCAGCCAGGAGGGAGGCTGTACCCTGTAAAACCACAGGGATGGAGCTGCCCAAGACCATGGGAACCCACCTCTTGCATCACCATGACCTGGAGGTGAGACCTGGAGTCAAAGGAGATAATTTTGGAGCTTTAAAATTTGACTGCCCCACTGGATTTTGGACTTGCATGGGCCCTGTTACTCCTTTGTTTTGGCCAATTTCTCCCATATGGGATGGTTGTATTTACCCCCATTGTATCTAGGGAGTAACTAGCTTGCTTTTGATTTTACAGGGTCCTAAGCAGAAGGGACTTGCCTTATCTCAGATGAGACTTTGGACTGTGGACTTTTGGGTTAATGCTGAAATGAGTTAAGACTTCAGAGGACTGTTGGGAGGGCATGATTGATTTTTGAAATATGAGGACATGAGATTTGGAGGGGCCAGGGGTGGAATGATATGGTCTGGCTCTGTCCCCACCCAAACTATCAACTTGAATTTTATCTCCCAGAATTCCCATGTGTTGTGGGAGGGACCCATGGGGAGGTAATTGAATCATAGGGGCCAGTCTTTCTTGTGCTATTCTCATGATAGTAAATAAGTCACATGAGATCTGATGGTTATACCAGGGGTTTCTGCTTTTGCTTCTTCCCATTTTCTCTTGCCACCACCATGTAAGAAGTGCCTTTCACCTCCCACCGTGATTCTGAGGCCTCCTCAGCCATGTGGAACTGTAAGTCCAATTAAATCTCTTTTTCTTCCCAGTCTAGGGTATGTCTTTATCAGCAGGCTAAAAACAGACTAATACAACTAATGTTGTTATATTTATATAGCAGAGGTCCAAGCTTGAACTTACGTTTTGTGTACTTCAGAATTTCTCAAAGGGATACATCCAGAACACTGGCAGAAGAAATCTTCTAGGGACCTCTGACCAACAAAACTTCTTGGGGAAAAACTTTTAGTAAGAGGAGAATGAGCTGAGTATTTCAGTCTTGTTCCAATAAGATAATGGCAGTTGGTAGAGTTGGATGATTTTATGTGCTCTGGAATGCCTCTTGCTATTTTGTTTTGACTTTCCACTCTCTTCTTCCTCACCTTTTCATACCATAAGTAGGAAGACTTTGGCCTATGTTTTGTGAGAGGAAGTCCCCAGTGAGAAAATGAAAGTAACTGAAAAGCTATCCTCTTAAACAATGTCCTGGGTTGCTGAGAGCACAGAGCATCAGTGCTCTGGGATCAGGGTAACTAGGGTAGAAATGTCAGGAGAGGGCCTTCTGCCTTCTGCAGGTTGACTTGACTCCTTGTGGAATCACCACAGCATGACCTGGACAGGTGTCAGTGGCAACAGCAGCAGCAAGACACCTTCATCAGGCTTCCTGAGCTTCAGAGTGACAGCATCAGACATCACTGCAATGGGGGCAGACTGAAGTAGGGTGGGTCCAGGAATATGGAATTCCATGTTGCAGTCTAGAATGATGTATTTATAAGTGCATGCAAGATATCCAAGGAGAATTTGTAGAATTTATTGCAATTATTGGGATTGTCTTCATAGACAGCAGAGATTGTGACTATTTTTGTGACTATATATGTATCTACATATATATATGTATGTGGTTATGTATTTCAGAGATTGTTTTGAAATACTAAACATTTGCTTTCCAACCCTCACTGCTCCTAGCTCCTGAGTCTATCATCCAGGCAGGAATAATGGTTTCCTAAAGGGTGACTGGAAACAAATCACCTCATTTCTTAAGTTTACCAATTTTGAAACATGGAAAAAATTATAAGTTGCTAAAACATATTGTATTTCTGAGTTTTTAAATAATCAGGTCCTGTTTTAATAATCTGCAAACATGGAAGACATATAGCTATTTAATAAACATAGCTACTTAAATTGAAGTGAATAAATTTCTGGCATTCCATATATTCACTGCCCTCAAGCAGAAAAACCCAAGAACAATGAAGACAAGTGCATTTCAAGAAGGTTTTAAAACATAAAGCATAAACAACACTTTCAAAAGTAATGCTTCTACTGGAATAGTATGACTTTGTTCAGAATCAATAGCATTCTTAGGATCCAAAATATCAGACAGAACCTAAAGAATTTAACACATAGAGACATATGGTAAAGAAGATTATGTAATGGCATAAGAACCCTTTCCAATTTTAAGGAGATAAAAACTGAACTGGAAGACTGGAGAAGGAACAAAATAGAAGAGATTTATGAGATCCTGAGCTCTTGTAAAATGACCAGGCACCCTTTCCCATTGTACCTCACACTGGAGGAATAGAAAAAGAGAAATCTCAACGATAAAAGTCACATATTGTTTTGGGGAAAATCAGGAGTGCAGGGGTTTTATTGAAGGGGGCTATAGCAATAGCTCTGGGCACTGTCTAGATGATGTTTCCGCAGCCTTACAGAACATATCACAGCTCAAGGTGGTATAAGGAGAGCTACTGATACTGCTGAGTTTCCCAAGGGGTATGGGAATTCTGAGAAGGCTGGCTGACCGGAAAAGATCTAAGGTCAGGATAAGAAGAGGACAGAGTATATTCATTCAGTTACTGGAATTATAGCAGATATTAAGAATGAATGACAACTAATGGCTCCTAAGGTCCAGGTGGCATGATTTATGCCACAGAGGAGGCCAGCAAGGAGACAAGATTGCATTGAGGATGTCTGCACCAGATGAAAGGAAATGAGAGAGCAGGCCTATTATAAATGGGTACCCAGTCACAGAGTAAGAAAGAATAGAGAATTAAATTAGATGGCATATATAAATAATAAGAACATCATAAAAAGTCAAAATGTAGCTTATAGAATATTGAAATAAAAGAAGTCAGTCTGATTACCTACAGAAAAATATTTTCTACATGATATACTTGAGTTTGAAACTCCATACACTGTGCAACCTGGAAATATAAGGTTCATTAAAAGTGATTTCAACTCAATCAAGGGCAAGGGGTGGAAAGGAGCTAACCTAAGTAACTCTGGAAATCAGTGTTTTGATTGGAAACTGGAGGCTAAAGACAAAATGCACATGGATACAGATGGATTATATATATATATAAAATTATAGATATGTTTACAAATATGGGTTCATATTCATAAATATATTTCCTAATTCTACCCTCTGAGAGGGCCTGGAAATAGTGACACTTCAGTAGCAATGAGCACATCCAGTTTCTAAATACTATTTTCCAAGTAAAGGAAACATGATTCCTTGGATAAATAGATGATTCCAGGGCTGGGATAGCAGCAATACAAGACGTGCCTGCAGAATTGTGTAGTGACAGCAAGTAAGGAAATGCACAAAAGACAAAAAGATGGGGACATGTCAAAGAGACACAGGAGCCAACCTGAAAAAGCTCCCAATCTCTAAATCTGGAAAAAATTGAGCAACAACAATAACAAAATAATACAGTATTAGATTAGAATTCAAACTATAAAAGAAATATACATAACTATTTACTAGTATAATCAATAAATAAATGGTGAAGAAAATTTTAGTACAAAAGAATTCTTAATAAGCTTTATAGATACCTCCACATCCAGAAGAAAACTTTAATTCCTGTCCCCTACCCCCATCCTTTGAGTGTGAGCTAGACTTAGTTATGTGCTTTCATAAAACAGAAAATGTAAAGGGAAGGGGTAGCTTTATAATGAAGAAATCTGACAAACACTACTTTGGACAGGTAATCAAGATTAATATCACCAGTGATAAGTCATATTGATAGCATGTTCCCACTGATATGATGAGGACACTTCACCTCTGTGATATTCTTTCCAAAAATTTGTAATCCCAATCTAAGCTTAAAAAAAATCAGACAAATCCAAATTGAGGGACATTCTACAAAATACCCAATCGGTAATCCTCAAAACTGTCAAGGTCATGAATACAAGGAAATAATGAGAAACTGTCAAAGCCAAGATGAGCCTAATAAGACATGACAAGTAAACACACTGTGGAATTTAGAATTAGATGCTGGAATGGAAAAAGGACATTAGTGGGAAAACCAGTGAAATCCAAATAAAGTTCAGAGTTTGGTTAATTATAAGGTACAAATGTTAGTTTCTTAGTTTTCACAATTGTACCACAGTTATCTCATAGATGTTAATAGGAGAAGTAGGGGAGGGAATTCTGTATTATCTTTGTAAGTCTTCTATAAATCTAAAATTATTTCAAACTGAAAAGTTCATTTAAAAAGTGGTACCAACTTTTTTACTATATAGGAGGGCTATCACCAGTAACCCAAACATTAAAGCAAAATAACAGAAATACAAAAGAAAATATCATAGCTCTAATAAAAGAGTACCAACAGTATAGTGGGTAGATGCTAGACTTTTTAGACTGGCTTGTGAAAACCTAGGGTACAGTTTTCAACAAATTTTAGAAACATAATGGCAAAATATACTACTTATGGCTTTTAGAAAGAAAGAACCCTATTTCAATCCTCTTTCCCAGCTAAATTGGTCTACTCCTCTATGATCCTACCTCCAAAACTTCCCATATCTCTTTTCATTGAATGCTTTCATCCTGCTTGCTCCATTGCCTGTTTCTTGGCTATCCTTCAATAGGAGGTTCAAGTTCATGTCTGTTTGATGAATTCCCAGACATTAGTAACAACTTTGTCTTCTAAATTCTATAATCTTTTTACTCTATGTCAATGTTTACCACTTTTAATACTATATTTTTCATTGTCCTCAAAAAGAGAGTGGAAAGTCGATTAGCTTAGAAAATACATAACAGCATGAAGAGCTACACCAAGCCAAATAAACAAACAGAAGAAGCTACAAGAAGATTTAGGGGATGTGTTGATATCTACAACTTACTCTAAAATGCATTAAAAAAAGATATGGTTTGATGGGTGAATGGCAGAATGGATGTGTTCCTCAATAAGTTCTTTCAAATTTCCTGTATGTATAAAAATTTTCACAATAAAATGCTGGGGAAAAATACAGAAAGTTCAAAAATATTTGAAATAATTGCATATTTTGTCAATTGCAAAACGGATTTGAAAAACTAATAATGACAAACAATGAGGAAAACTAATAAAACTAACAATGAGAATAATAACTGTCATTTAATGTATTTAATTCTGTGCAAGGCACTGTGCTGAGTGATGTACTTATATTATCTCAATTTTTCTGTTTACCAATACCTGATGCTATCATTTTTATTATGAGAAGCTAAGACTCCTATTAGTAACATGTTTCATTGAGCTATAGATAAGTCTTGATCCACATATGATTTCAGAAATGTTTACAGCAACTCATTGGAAACCATAGCACTATTTATAGCACTCATTTTTTAAGGAGTTCCATGCTACATTATATTGTTGTGTGATTTATTATATGTATGCCCTGTATACAAACAAAACACCAGTAATTCACTTCAAAACAGAGGTAATTCACTTCCCTATATCATTACACTAAACTCTAGGAGAGTGTCCTATAGATAAATGAGTGTTTAGTAAATATTTGATAATGCTTATTCTTGTTTTACAGAAATTATATCATACTATTCACATTTTGACTTATTTACTCAAGAGGAATCTCTTGAAATCTATCCAAGCCAACTAGTGTATCTCTAATTCATTAAGTAGTACATAGTATTCTATTATATGAATGGGCCATAATATTCCTCTACTGATTAACATTTTCTTTGGTGCCCAGTTTTACCAACTAAAAATAATGCTACAATAAGCATGCTTATTTATTCAGTATGCTCTTATTTCCAGCAATAAGATTTCCAACATGAAGTGCAGAGTCAAAAGTATATATCATATTAATTTGAATAGATATTGCTAAGTTGCTATCTAAAACTCTATGAAAGTCATATTTCTACCAGCAATGTGGAACAGTGCATCTTTGCTTAGGTCTCAGCCAGCAAAAGAAGTTATTGCTTTATTTTGCTTTGTTTTAATTTTGGCCAGTCTAAAAGCTGTCAATCTCACTGTGTTTTTTCACCTATTAGTGATTTTGAGCATCTTTGCATATATTTGATAGCTGCTGCATTTTTGTTTTGCGAATGGTTCCTCAATATCTTTTACCTATTTTGCTATTAGATTGTGTCCTTGTTCTCTATTTTAAGTAGCTCATTGTATCAAACCTCTGCCTTCTAAAGTGCAATTCCCCTTCAAATTATATTTATAGATTTGTTTATATTATTTTTCACATAAAAGTTTGAAATTTATATAAAAACAAAGTCATTTGTCTTCTCTTTTATATTCTTTATTAAGAATACCTTTCCTGTTCCTAAATTGAATATGCAGCTCTCTAGATTGGCTTCCAGAGTTTTTATTAATTAAATAATTAATTGTTTTGGACTTGTTGAATTTTTTCAATTACTTCTTTTAGTATTTAGAGGTAATATTATATAATCAACCTTCTTAGAAGTATTGATGTTATAAACTATGAGAATAGAATTATTAATATGGTATCATTCTGAAATAGAATGTATTTGGCCTTAATATATCCTTCAATAGATGGCTGGACAACTTAACTTTTCTCCACATACTCAGTACTCATGACTGCTAAGGCAAAGAATACTCAACCATTTCCACCTTGTTAGAAACCTTTGGATCCTTCAGGTTCAATGATAACAAATCCATTTTCAGTTAATAGCTATGCATCCAGGTTTATATAAAAATTAGCTGGGGCTGTTTCTAAGCAAGGACATGAGAGATGAAAATACAAGATCAATTTTAGGGCTTTGAATTTGAAATTCCTCATCATATTTCTTTTTTTGAGGCTTTAAGGGGAATGATTGGAAAATACAGGGTAATAAAAGTTAAAGACATTAGAGTCAATGTGAAAGGCACAAATTATATATATACATGTATATATATATATACATATATATACATGTATATATATACATATATATACATGTATATATATACATATATATACATGTATATATATACATATATATACATGTATATATATACATATATACACGTGTATATATATGTATATATATACACGTGTATATATATGTGTATATATATACACGTGTATATATATGTGTATATATATACACGTGTATATATATATGTGTATATATATACACGTGTATATATATATATATACACGTGTATATATATATATATACATGTGTATATATATATATGTATTTTTTTTTTGAGATGGAGTCTCGCTCTGTCACCCAGGCTGGAGTGCAATGGCACGATCTCAGCTCACTGTGACGTCTACCTCATGAGTTCAAGTGATTCTCCCGCTTCAGCCTCCCGAGTAGCTGGGATTATAGGCACCTGCCATCATGCCTGTCTAATTTTTGTATTTTTGTAGAGATGGGCTTTCACCATGTTGACCAGGCCAGTCTTGAACTCCTGACTTCAGGTGATCCTCCTGTCTTGGCCTCCCAAATTGCTGGGATTATAGGCATGAGCCACCACACCTGGCTGACACAAATACATTTCTCTGAGCTGACCTAGATCCTAATATTCCAAACAAATATATGAGATTAACATAAGGAAGAGGCCCATCTAAAAAAGACATTTTTAAAACCTAAAAAAAATGTGTACAAATGCATTTTACCCCAAATGTTCTACATAACTTGGTATATTCCTTAACCTTCATTTGTTTTACAGCTTGTCATAAAAGTGGTATAGCATTACTATGATGATCTACCAGAAAATTCACAAGCAAGTGCTTAATTATTCACTTTATTTTAACTATGTTAGGAAAACAGCAGTGAAGATTTGAATTGCCAAATCGCCTAAGAAGAAATAATCATAAGAAAATTAAACAAGTGTTCTGATATATGTGCACAATGAGAAACAGCAAAGAAGGTTCAAACCATCTGTGCTTATAATCTTTTGGGTTCTAATTGAAATCCAAATTATCTTAATGGGATTTAGATAGCAACATTTAATAGACAAACTTTGCAAAGCAATATCTCACCAGAAAGTGATAAAAATCTTGCAATAATTTTAAAAATATTTATTTATTCTTATTTAATTTATTAATTTAGGAGACAAGGTCTCACTCAGTCACTCAGGTTGGAGTGCAGTGGTGCAATTACGGCTCACTGCAGCCTCAGTCTCCTGGGTTCGAAAGATCTTCCCACTTTAGCCTCCCAGGTAGCTGGGACTACAGGCTGGGGCCACCACGTCTGGCAATTTTTTTATTTTTGTAGAGAGGGGGTTTCCCTATGTTGCCCAGGCTGGTCTCAAGCTCCTGCCCTGAGGCAATCCTCCTGTGTCAGCCTCCCGAAGTGTTGGGATCATAGGCTTGAGCCACAACATCCCACCTGTTGTAACATTTTTAGCATAGAGTTTATGAGCATGAACTTTGGAATTTGTTAAGGCCACAGTCCAAATATTGGCACTTCTACTTAACATCTCTGTGATTTTAAGAAAGATGAACTTGCATTTCTTCATCCGTAAAATGAAAATAACAGAACCTACCTTCAAGGATTAGTATAGGAATTTAAAGAGAAAATATACATAAAGCACTTAATTTGAAGTATAATAATTTCTCAATAAACTTTAGCTGTTATTATTCCCCTTTTCCTCTTTTTTGTCCTCCTCCGCCCAGAGGACCAATAATAGCTTATCATCATTTGCATATATATATATATACACACACACATACACACTATACACACACTATACACACTCTATACACACACTATACACACACACACACACCCTTATATGGGGTTTACTGGGTTTTGTAAAAAGAGTGTGCTGGCTCTGTGAATGCACTTGCAGACAAGCAAACAACCCTCTCTTCCAGTGAACTGACCACCAAGTTGTTTCTTCTAACCTTTCCCTGTAGATAAGTTTCTGTATCTACCACTTATGTGTCTACATTCAGATGTGTAGACCACTGAAATATATAATTCTCCTTTCACTCTGATAGGTTTCCAACACACAACCCTACTCCTCCACCTACACACTATATTAAATTCTAGCAAATGTGTATTTTTATTTTGTTAATTCTTTATAGATAAATCAGATAGATAAATCTACCTGGTGTATCTAAGATATAACCAGTACACAGCCCAATTTTCCTGCCTTCTTACCCTTCCCTTCTTATATGCGCATGACTCTGGAAATATTGTAAGACTCAGTCAGGGGAATTTCTCGAATTTCCTTCTTTTAGACTTAGAAGTTAGGCAATGACAACTTCTGAGTAAGCATAGTTGTTAAGATGAGTATATAATCCCTTATCAAACAGGGTCTACATCTATGGAAGGGCTGGGAGCAGGATGTGTTTATAGGGTAAATATGCTCAAAGTTGTAAATTACCACTAGATGTCACCCTTTGTAACATGTAAGCAAACGTGGGGCAACTTTCTACTACCAAAGTACTCTGGAGCCAAGGCACTTGCCCCAGGCCTGAGAAACACCTAGCAGTAACATCGACTCTGCCTGTGACCCACTGCCACACTGGAAACAAATAATAAAGATTTCTCTCCAATGTAGTACTGAGGCTGGCTCTGAGTGTCCTCTGATCAGGATAGGAGAACCCACTTATTTTCACCAATAAGGACTTCATTTATTAACTATCCACCTCCTAAGGACTGAGGCACAACTGCCGTGTTTCTGTCTCCAAGAGTATCTATCTTTCCAAGCTCCATCATGCCAGAAGGCTGATGGAATTACCTCTTCTGTTCTCTTAGATTGTGTTGGTATCACTAGCAAGAACTGATATGGACCTCGGATTTTGCGATGAAAACTAAGATTAGTCAATACCTCTTTATCACATAAAGCTCCACAGAAATATGACCTAACTGTCCCTGATTCTCCAAGATTCATTCTACCACTGCTGACAGATCATGAAAGTTAATTTTGAGGCTGAAAATGCAGCATTTTTCTACTTCTCAAAACTGCACTGGAACTGAAGAGATAAAACATTGCTTAATTCATGAAAAACCCCAACTTTTTCTGGATTCACGTGTAGCATTTCTCTGCTTCTAAGGATGGCCATTCCTAAAGATCTAGTGGCATGTTCTAACCATGACCAATTCCTTTTTCTCCATTTGATACTTCTCATGAATTTCTCAAGCTTTAAAAAAAATTGTAATTAATCTGAACCAATAGTTAAAAACAATATCTGATATTTGATTCTTCCAACAACTTTCTGATAAGTACTTTAATTATCCCTATTCACAACTAACGAGGAAACTAAAGCTAACAATTTAAGTAACCTGCTCAAGATTAAGGAGCTACTAAATGCCAAAGCTTGAGCTTTAACCCACAGTAACTGCAGTTGACAATCAAGCCAAGCTTGACTGTTACCTACATTTTCAGATAAATATATTTCAATTATTTGTAAGCTTAGTTGTATTTCTTCAAGTTATCTTTACATTAAATTTACATTTTGTTTTGTAAACTAAAGTTGTACTATTGTTTATGAACTCATAGACTGTATTACTGATAAGTTTTATGAACAAAAATAAGTGTTTAATATAAGGTGTTCCATGAATTTTAGAATAAAAGAAACTCTAGGGGATGTGCCTGCTAAACCCATGGGCATGTAGATATGTGTAAACTTAAATGTAACCTTCCTAAGAAACCTGTAGGGTAGCCCCATATTTGAATGGAGAAAGCCTCATTCAAATATGGGGCTACACAATAGCCTTTCAGAAGGTTTAAGAACAAGTTAAGGTCACATAGACAGTAATTGGCAGGATGAAGGTGTACATGCAGATTGGGTTTTCTGACCATAACATTTATTTAATTTTCATTAAACTGAGCAATGCTTCAAAGTGAGGACTGTTTCTTAAGTTTTCCAGTTATGGCTTTATTTTTTTTTCTTATTAACAAACTAAGTTTAAGAAAATCAATTTGTAATCATACTCTCAATTGCACCTCTTTTCCTTACTTCATTCTATTGTCATAGTTCCTTGGTTTTGAGGGACAAAATTAGTGGTGTTACATCCTAGAATTTTTATCACTTGGCATCTACTATACTGGTAGTAAAGATTTTACATATAATATCCACTATACCATATCTGAATAGCACATGAATATTGTGTACCAATCCAGACAGTTTCATGCCTGAGATGGTTTATCACGAAATCTGTGTCTATAAGACAGAATAAACAGAATAGGTAAGTGATGCTTCTCAGAAAAACTGCAAAAATAAAGACCTTGTGTTAAATCTTCTGAAAGAAAATGTTGACTAGACTGATATTGTGAAAGCAAATGAAGTAACTAAATGTAGAAAGTTTTAAAAAATACTCTGGATCTTATTTTGTGTCAGGCACTAGTGAAATCACTTTATATGTTATTTTATTTTTTTAAATCACTACCCTTACATGACACCTACAATTGTAACCTCAAATTTTACACATGAGGAAACTGAGGCATAGAAATTACAAGTAAATTTCTCACAGTCACATGGCTAGTAAACTCCATGACTGGACTTCAAACCTAAGTAGTGTAAGTGGGGTGTCTGAATCCAACAGCAACAATAACAGCAATGAATCAGACACCATATAAGCACTTTGCCTGTATTTTCTCATTTAACCTTGACACTAACCCTATGAGATGTTACTATCATAGTTCTCATTTTAAGAATGAGAAAACGAAGGTTCACAGAGGTTAAATAACGTGTACAATATATTTAATGGATGGCTGTTCAGGATTTGAATCTAGCTAGTCAACAGACTATAATTTTGTCTATTAAGTGAATATAAATTACCTGCATAAATATTTAATTCAGGTATATGTGTGTATTTTATACAAATTTTTTTTCATTATTGACATTATAATCTTAGGCCCAGGAATTAAAATATAAAATGGTTATACGAGCATTTATAAATATTTTCTATTCATGGATATTGATTCTGTCATGGATATTGTGGGTTGACTCCTCACTTCTGGCCATCTTTTAGATCTAGAACACTGAGAAATTTTAAAAAATATTTCTCAGAGGCCCATGGAACTCAAATTCTGGATGTTAATTATTTTCCACCAATTAGCTACACTCACTTAAGATTCAGAAGACAGAAATAAGGTGGAAACCTTTTCTCTGCCCTCACCTTTTCTTTTAGTTCTTCTTGCAGGCAAGGTCAAGGAAAGGTGAGTTGTTTCTGCTTTAGTGTTAGAAAGGCTGTTATCTAGAACAGAAGCATTTGCAGTAGCAGCAGCAGCGGCAGCAGCAATGGCATCTTCTTGATTTCACATCCTGATTTTGAGGATCCCCACCTGGGGTATGTTCTTGAATTCAAAACTCCAATCCAATGTTAGACACCAAGGTGGTAGCACCCTTGACAGGTCATCTCTTTAGTGTTCTGAGTCATTTCTGGAGGCCCAAACTAGAAATCACCCCTTCAACCCTCCAACAAATTTAAGTACTTAATTATTGTATCCATCTATTTATTTATCTATCTATCACATTTCTAGTGTCTATTTCCTGCCCTGGGTTTTGACTGATACAGTATTCATTGTTTAAACTGCATTAGTGCTGCCTGATAGAAGTTCTTGTAGCTAATGCTTTTCAGACACTGTGTTGCTGATTTATTTTACAGTTTTGTCTCTCCATGAATTTCAGTCAATCTTCTTCATCCCATCCCCCTTTCTCAGTAACTTCACCCATTCACTACTCCAAAAACATCTTTGAAAACCATTTTGACAGCCAAGCCTAACAAACCCAAAATGATAACATTCCAGCTTAGGAATGTTATTTTGATAGAAAAAGAAATTCTAGAAATAGAATGTTCAAATTTTTATTTGTTGTAAGACACTTAAAATAATAATGCTATTAATGAAAGGAAGTTTTGTTTGTTTGCTTTCCTGTTTTCTGGTGTATTTATACTGGGAAACATGTCCTGAGACCTAGCTCCCAACTCCTGCCAACCTTGACCTTCCACTCACCTTTTACCACTGTGGTTACTTGCTTTGCTGCTGTTGCTGCTTGATCTTGCCTTGGATGTTATGTTTCAAAAAAGGAGTTTAGGTGCTTTTACCTGATACTTGGCTTTTGCTATAAAATGTAATTGTCTTCAAGACATGCGTATAAAAACTAGAGGACAAGATTATGCCAAGTTCCTTGCCTCTGCCACACTTTCTTTGTGTGTGTGTGTGTGTGTGTGTGTGTGTGTTGTGTGTGTGTGATGTTCTTTATTAGCAAAATTTAACAGAGAAGTAGCCATTAAGGTAGTCTCAAATCCATTCAGTTAAATAGCTCAGTAACTTCGTATCAAAGAATACATATTGGTATTGAAGCACCTTGCTTAATTTGTACTCAGCTGCAAACTAAAATAAATACCATACATATTTATATGTGATGGCTGTTGGGAAGAATATCAGAAGGGTAAACAACATTTGGGAAAACCAACAGGCATTTGTTTCTTTGTACCTGACCGAAACTACATTCAGCTGCTATTTGTGCTACTACATAGATGGGCGCCTACAGGCCATCTGATATTTCTGCTCTTGTCGTCTTTCCCTGTAGAAGGAAGGGAGGAAGCAGAGAGATCAAGAACTATGTCTAAGTCCCAGACACCATGATCAAATCAGAGAAGTCTAACACAAAGGAAAGTCCATATCACCAGGAGCTGGGTTAGTTTCTACTTTTTGTTTCTGGATGGCAATCAGGAAGAGGTTTGTAAAAATATATGTGTATATATAGTAAACAATTTCTACTTTCAAAGTGTTTTAAACATTAGTTTGAAAAATTAATCAGGTTAATACATTTCTGTGGAAAGAATAAGCACTTTTTGTCATTGGTCTCTTTCCAGGTCTTTTACAAAAATATGAACTACAATTATCATTGCTATTTTCTTGCTGCTGTTTTTCCTAAATATTTCCATTTAATTCATTGATTCTTCCTCCCGGTTTATGTTTCTTCAAATTCAGATTGGAAGTATGAAATTTTCTCAGAAAACAGAATTGGCTGCTTCAAGGTTATTTTGATTTAAACTTACAAATAATCATTTAATGAAACGAACAAACGTCTGTTCAATTTTCACTGATAAGGCCAGAAATGGAATATTTAGGTATTTTGTTTCCAATGATTTATTATAAAATTTTACAAACATATTAAAATCATGGAAGAATTACACAGAGAAACCACCTAAATTGTACAATTAATATTTTGCTGTGTTTTCTTTATCATGCATCTCTCCATCTATTTGCTCTGTTTGGGAATTCTGTAACCACCTCAAAAGAAGAATCAGGTGAAAAACATTAGAAAGGGCATGATTTTATAGAAATATTCCTACCCCACACTTAATAATGTTTTCATACATTTTGATTTTGCTTTTTACTATCCAAATTACAATAAGAATTTGGAAAATGTTTTAAGTGAACCCTGGGACTTTGTGACTCAGATCTCAATATTTTCTGCAGGTTTTCCCATGTTTTTCAATAAAGTAGGGTTTGTTGAGAAGTAGAGAAGAAAGGGTTATCATTGAGTATCAGACTAATATATAAAACTCCTTACATGCCATCACTCTGCCCTCAATTTTTAAATAATGGGATTTTATAAAAAGACTGAATAAAGGACTCTAAAGCGATAAACTGCAGAGAGATACAAGATGCTATTGCCAAAAACCAGATAGCATTCAATTAGTTTTTTTTAAGGCATTCTTATCACATCTCCTCCTAATATTAGCTTTCTCAATAAACAATAGCCTGCTGCAATATTGCCAGGGTTGCCCAGCTGAGATGACAATGTGCAGTGACAGATGATTGGGATCATCCGAAACTGTTGATGTTATTCACAAATGGCACTCACTGGTCCTTTAGTATAGGAGATTATTTTATGACTCTAACATGAAACCAGATTAATATTTATGTGGTAAGACAGATAAGAAATGCATTTTTCTGCAATAAAAAAATTAAACATATTTTTTGGGTCCATTTTCAGCTATTAACTTTTATCTAATTGAGTCTGATATGTACATAAGATAATGAGCACACACATCTTTCTGCTCTTTGAAAAGGCTTTAAATCTTGTATGACTATTCAAGACCTTAATTTAGGCTTTCAGATTGTATTTGCTTTAAATGAAGGAAAAATCAGTAGGGTAAAAAATATCTACAATTTAATATAATAATGCTACCACTCATACTGGGTTATGTCAATCTCTGGTTGTTAGACATATGAATTACTTGGTCACATGAAGCTACTGGGTCAAATTAAAGTTTATAATAATATTTTATAGACCATTCTTTTTCTCCAGAATACAGAAAATTTCTAGTTTTAAAACAAAAAATAAATAAGTCATTACTTTAGTCCATCTAACGAAAAAGTATATTTTTAATATATTTTGAAACATTGGCCGATTTGATAGGATTGAATCAATTAACATTCTGAAAAAAAATTAAATTTTATTTAGATGCCAGAACTGAAATACAACATATTGAAATCTTTGGAATTTTCAATTCAAGACATAAAGCAATTACTAGCTTACGATAAACAAAACATTTCTGAAGATTATCTCCAAGGCCCTGAAAGGTCTGGCTGCTTCCTATCTTTCCAGTCTCATCTGGAATGATGCTTGCAGGATTTCCAGGTGAGTCAACTCTCTAGTTTCCTCCTACCTTATTGAGCTACTTCTTCTCAATATTTAGAGATTCTCCATTTTCTCTGACCTGGAATCATATTCTGAGACTCAAACTGTCTTCTTTTTTCACTCTCTTGATGTCCTCATTCAGTACTGTGTCTTTAAATATCATGAATTTGTTAGTGTTTATCAAATGTATATTTCCAGTCTGAATATCTCCCTAAGCTCCAGATTTGATGGGGAAAGGGATCCTATGATCTACTACATATCCGGAAAATGTGGACCCTGTCAGTGATGTGCTATACTAGCAAGAGCAAATTCTATATGTCTCCTCCCAATTTTGCATTCAGAGACATGCGGGTAGCTTGAAATCAGCCATATTGGGAGTATTTAGCCCATGAAAATCAGCAAATGCTAAAAATCCTCACCTGTCCTTCCAGAGCTGGGTTAGCAGAACACAACTGCCTATCACATCCTGAAGAGGCCTGATATTGTTTGGCTGTGTCCTCACCCAAATCTCATCTTGAACTGTAGCTCCCATAATTCCCTCGTGTTGTGGGAGGGACCAAGTGGGAGATATTTTAATCATAGGGACGGTTTCCCTCATACTGTTCTCATGGTGGTGAATAAGTCTCACAAGATCTGATTGCTTTATAAGAGGAACACCCTTTCACTTGGTTTTCATTCTCTTGTCTTGTCTGCCAGCATGTAAGATGTGCCTTTCATCTTCTGTCATGATTATGAGGCCTCCCCAGCCACACAGAACTGTGAGTCCATTAAAGGCTCTGTCTTCATCAGCAGCGTGAAAATGGACTAACACAGTAAATTGGTACCAGTAGAGTGGGGAGCTGCTGAAAAGATACCCAAAAATGTGGAAGTGACTTTGAAACTGGGTAACAGGCAGGCAGAGGTAGGAACAGTTGGAGGGCTCAGAAAAAGATAGGAAAATGTGCGAAAGTTTGGAAATCCCTAGAGACTTGTTGAATGGCTTTGACCAAAATGCTGATAATGATATGGACAATGAAATCTAGGCTGAGATGCTGAGATGGTCTCAGGTGGAGATAAGGAACTTGTTGGGAACTGAAGCAAAGGTGACTCATTATATTTTAGCAAAGTGACTGGTGGCATTTTGTCCCTGCCCTTTTTTGAGATTTGTCTGACTTTGAACTTGAGAGAGAGAACTTAGGGTATCTGGCAGAAGATATTTCTAAGCAACAAAGCATTCAAGTGGTGACTTGGGTGCTGTTAAAGGCATTCAGTTTTATAAGGGAAGCACAGCATAAAAGTTTGAAAAATTTGCAGCCTGACAATGTAATGTAAAAGAAAATCCCATTTTCTGAGGAGAAATTCAAGCCGGCTGCAGAAATTTGCATAAGTAACAAGGAGCCAAATGTTAATCCCCAAGACACTATGGGGAGAATGTCTCCAGGGAATATCAGAGACCTTTACAACAGCCCCTCCCATCACAAACCTGGAGGCCTGGGAGGCAAAAATGGTTTCATGGGCTGGGCCTATGGTCCCTCTGCTGTGTACAGTCTAGGGACTTGGTGCCCTGCATCTCTGCCACTCCAGCTGTGACTAAAAGGGGCCAAAGTACAGCTTGGGCCATGGCTTCAGAGGGTGCAAGTCCCAAGGCTTGGCAGCTTCCATGTGGTGTTGAGCCTGTGGGTGCACAAAAGTCAAGAATTGAGGTTTGGGAACCTCCGCCTAGATTTCAGAGGATGTATGGAAACGCCTGGATGTCCAGGCAGACATTTGTTGCAGGAGCAGACACTGATGGAGAACCTCTGCTAGGGCAGTGCAGTAGGGAAATGTGGGGTGGGCACCCCCACACAGAGTCCTCATTGGGGCACTGCCTAGTGGAGCTGTGAGAAGAGGGCCGCCGTTCTCCAGATCCCTGAATGGTAGATCCACCAACAGCTTGCACCCTGCACATGGAAAATCCACAGACCCTCCATGCCAGCCCATGAAAGCAGCCAGAAGAGAGGCTGTACCCCACAAAGCCATAGAAGTGGAGCTGCCCAAGACCATGGGAATCTACCTCTTGCAACAGCATGACCCAGATGTGAGACATAGAGTCAAAGGAGGCCATTTTGGACCTTCAAGATTTAACTGCCCTGCTGGATTTCAGACTTGCATGAGGCCTTTAGCCCCTTTGCTTTGGCCAATTTCTTCCATTTGGAATAGCTGTATTTACCCAATGCCTCTACCCCCATTTTATCTAGGAAGTAACTAACTTGCTTTTGATCTTACAGGCTCACAGGTGGAAGGGACTTGCTTTGTCTTAGATAAGACTTTGGACTGTGGACTTTTGAGTTAATACTGAAATGAGTTAAGACTTTGGGGGACTGTTGGAATGGCATGATTTGTTTTGAAATGTGAAGATATGAGATTTGGAAGGGGCCAAGTGTGGAATCATAGGGTTTGCCTGTGTCCTCACCCAAATCTCATCTTGAATTGTAGCTCCCATAATTCCCTTGAGTTGTGGGAGGGACCAAGTGGGAGACAATTGAATCAAGGGGGTGGTTCCCCCATACTGTTCTCATGGTGGTGAATAAGTCTCATGAGATCTGATGGTTTTATAAGGGGAAACCCCTTTCGCTTGGTTTTCATTCTCTTCTCTTGTCTGCTGCCATGTGAGATGTGCCTTTCATCTCCCACCATGATTGTGAGGCCTCTCCAGCCACATGGAATTGTAAGTCCATTAAACCTCTTTCTTTTGTAAATTGCCCAGTCTCAGCTATGTTGAAAATGGACTAATACAAGGCCCAAGAAAACCAGGACTAAGAAGATCATGCATAATGAATGTGCTCGTGTGTGTGTGTGTGTGTGTGTGTGAAAAGATTATTGTATTAGCAATTCCTTTAATACTATTCCTTAAATCCATTCCTTCAGTTTATTAAAAGTAACTCTATACACACAAAGTCCCAAATCCAGATTGGCAGCTCAATTTGGTGGCCCAGAGGTATGTAACCTATTATTCCAGATGTAATTACAAAGTTATGGCAATATGTGACATCAAGGAAACAAATCTAATTAATTTTAGGAAAATTTTGCTCATAATTATTGTCTAGATTAAGAATTTTATAATACTGGTGCTTCTAATCTCTCTCTGATCTATATGCTTAGATCAGGGAGGAGATACTAAACACAAACTGGCCAGATTCTCTTTCGGAAGAAGAGGGTCAATTAGCTGTTGGTAGCAACGTTGGAAAGTCATCTTTATATATCCTGTTTGACACTGCTGCCATAAAAACCCATGTGTTATGGGGCAGAGGAAATCAGGTATCAGGAAAGAGAAAAAAGTAAATGTGCAAAGAGAAAGAGTGCTAAGACATCCCACAGTCCAGGAAAGAGAGGGAGAGAGAGCCAATTGACATTCTACATCTTCAATTCCCATGCAGCATAGTTTTATTAGGTATCACATGCTTCCACTCTGTTCTCAAATGAATACCACTTTTGCTCAGAAGTTCTTATTAATAATACTATTTAAGGTTTAGTTGAGAAAAAAGTTTCTTTAATATCCAGAGTTGGTATTTAATTGACCTCTTGCAATCTTTGCTTAGATGTGTAACAGTCATTTCAAAATTCACATGCCTAAAACTGAACTCCTGAATTTCCCCCAAAGGTGCTTCATTCACATTTCATCTTCTTCTCAGCTCAGTAAATTTCTGCATCTTTTGCAGGCTAAAACTATTTGACTTTGATTCATTTTTTCTCACATAACTGTATCCAACCCCATAGCACGTCCTGCTGACTCTATTTTCTGAATAGAATATTCAGTCTGCACACTTCTTATTATCTTCATTGTCACCACCTCTTTCTAAGCCATTATTTTTTCCTGCTTGGATTATTGCAATAACCCTTTGTAGTCCCTGTTTCTGCCTCCTCTTCTCCCTTCAGTCTATTTTCTACACAGCAGCCAGATTAAACCATGTCATTCTATTGATCACCATGCCATTAAGCTTCCTATTTCTCTCAGGCTAAACGCCAAAAATCTTATAATGGCATCTCCTCTTTCACTGTCTAACCTCACCTCCAACTATTCACCTCCTCATTGACTTCTTTCCAATTACGTAGGCGTCTCAGCTCTTCCTGAAACACTCCAGACACTCTCTTCTCAGGCCCTTTGCCTTTGCTGTTCACTCCACTTCTTGGGATTTCTCCTCAATTATCTGCCTAGCTCCATTACTAACCTTCAGGTCTTTGCTCAAATGTCAACTTCTGAGTGCAGTTTTTCCTATCATTGCATTTAAACTAAAGTATCACCTACCCCTAGGATGCCCTATCCCTCTTCTAGCTCTTTCCCCCATAGTATGTATGTATGTATGTATGTATGTATGTATGTATGTATGTATGTATGTATTTTTAGATGGAGTTTGGATGGAGTTTAGATGGGCTCTTGTTGCCCAGGCTGGAGGGCAATAGCACAGTCTTGGTTCACTGCAACCTCCACATCCCGGGTTTGAGTGATTCTCCTACCTCAGCTTCCCGAGTAGCTGGGATTACAGATATGTGCCACCAAGCCCAGCTAATTTTGCATTTTTAGTAGAGATGGGGTTTCACCCTGTTGGTCTCGAACTTCTGACCTCATGTGATCCACCTGCCTTAGCCTCCCAAAGTGCTGGGATTACAGGCATGAGCCATCGTGCCTGGCCCTCCATAGTATTTCGAAGCATGCATTTTCTTCATTTTTAATTTTTTTGTTTCTCTCTACTAAAATATAAACTCTTTGCTGGCAGGGATTTTTGACTATTGAGATCATAGCTGTTTCCCATGTTTCTAGAATGGTGCCTGGCATACAGTAGATGCTCAACAAACCCTTGAATAAGTGAATAAGTGAATTCATATAATAAAAATACTTGTGGGGGTGCAGTTGGGGAAATGGCTGAATTATACAAACTATTTGTCTCCACTGCCCTATTTCAGTGGAATATTGCCAACTCTTTGCTCTGCTTTGTTCTATTTAGATTCTGCATCTGTGTAGATTTCTCTTCCAAAATTTGGGGATGTATAGTAATTTAGTCAGTGAAAGAGTTGTTTCCATGGATGCTTGGTAAACTGATTATAATGAAATTGGCACTGGGTCTTAGTTTTAATATGACACCATGGCATATTATAATTCTAATTTCCAATCTAAAGTTTCTCTAGTAGCAGAATAAGTACTTTCCCTGGGCATTTTTTTTTTCCTGCAGAACTTAGATAAAAAGCTCATGTTTTATTTGGCATCTGATCACTCACAGCAATCTTCTCAGATAAAAACACAATGTCAGTGAGAAGAAAGGAAAAACCTCCTGCCGAATAGAAGGGAATAATCCCTTGTAAAACTGTCTCTGGATGCTAATGAGCCAACAATAAAGGCCCTATTATGTAATTGTTTCGAGTGATATTGTTCACATTAAATTTCAGTGATGCCAAAGGCAGAATCACCCTGAGGCTCTGATACATCAGTTAGAATAATGACACAGATTCAAGCTCATCAATTTTGCTAATGGCTGGTGCATCTACTTTAGACCAGCAAGGAAAAACAAAAACTTGAGTTTTATTTTTAATCTTATTTTGACATTAATGGTCATATTCTTCAGCAAAAAAAAAAAAAAAAGAAAAATTATACTGAGGCATCAATACCCTGAAACAGGCACAAACATATCCCAATGAGACAACACCAGGATCAAAAGTATATGAAGTCCCCCTATCTGTCCACAGGCTGAAATAACAACACTTTGTCTTAAATTTCTTGTGTCTTCATACTCTAAGATTTTGATGTCTGGTTAGATTGGTAATTGCTTCCATTGCCATATGTAGACACTTTAAATAATGATATGGGTGATACAAACTGGGACAAAATGGATATTCAATATATTTTTGACTTTCTCCAGTATCTAGGAAACTTAGGTAATATCTAGTCATTAAATCATGTTTGAAATCATAAGTAAAAAACGAATACCTTAATGGCTCTCTAAGGATAATATGGATTCCGACAGGCACTAAAACTGTTATACCACATGAATGTGATACTGTGGTCAAGTGGACAGCATTTTGGTATATGCAATAAACCACATTTAACACAATCCTGTTTTTAAGTGTATAATTAAGTTATGTCACAGACTGAATAGCTGATTCCAGAAATTTTAAAGTCTTCAGCTACAAAATCTAATATTACATTTGAAAGACTAGATCTTTTTGGTAAACTGCCTACTGAAGGGATCAGCTAAGGTCCTCTATGATTAATCTTCATATTCTCTATAGAATATTCGAGAGCATAAGCCGTGCATGGTGGCTTACGTCTGTAATCCCAGCACTTTGGGAGGCTGAGGGAGGTGGATCACCTGAGGTCAGGAGTTTGAGACCAGCCTGACCAACATGGAGAAACCACATCTCCACTAAAAATAAAAATTAGCTGGGCATGGTGGTGCATGGCTGTAATCCCAGCTAATTCAGGAGGCTGAGGCAGGAGAATCACTTGAACCCAGGAGGTGGAGGTTGCAGTGAGCCAAGATCATGCCATGGCACTCTAGCCTGGGGAAGAAGAGCGAAACTCCATCTCAAAAAAAAGAAGAATATTCCAGAGCATATCCTTTATTAGATGTTCTTATAAAATTACAGTTTCTGTGAATGTGAAAATCATGTAGGACAGATGATAAAAAGTATATCTTCTCATGAAATTTGAGATTTGAGAATAACATTAGAGATTATCTTACTGTAATTTTTTATATTATAGTTAAGAAACTGAGATTCAGTAAAGCAAAGTGATATGGATTTATATCAGAAGTTATAATTGCATTATGTGACTGAAAGGGATCAGAAGAGGCCACCCCAAAACATGTTACTTTGGCATAAGAATTATGAATAGGCCACCCCAAAACATGTTACTTTGGCATAAGAATTATTTTGAGTTCAAAGCAACTGAGAAGCAGCAGATGAAGGAAGAATTCTCTGTCCTCCCACTTTCTAACTAAAAATAGGGCATACATTTCCTTTTGTGAAGGTTTCCTGCTCTCTTCTCCCATATCGAGAAAAAGAGACAATTCTTAATCACTAGATACTACTCTTGTCACTGGAGAGTAGTTGGCATAAGAATATTTACTAAACAACCCTTACTTTACATTAGTTTTTCCATATTTTTACCTTCCCACAATTTACCGTTTTTAGAAGGCTAAACCTCTTTTACTTTGTCTAGTCACTTTTCCACAATTTATCATCCTTTGTTAAAATGATTTATAAGCCCCTGGGTCTAACTACCTCTTAGGGATTTTAACCTCTTTTCTGTGAACCCCTCTCTAACTACACATGTAAAAATATTAACATCAATAACATATGTATGCCTTTTCTCCTGTTAATCTTTTTTTTTTTTGTCAGTTTAACTTGCAAACCCCAGTTATAAACCTAAGAGAGTAGAGGAAATGTTTTTCCTCTCTTTTGACATCTCATGACACACTTGATTATTTGCCACTTGGTTAAATAGAAAACATTAAGAATTTCCTCATTATTATCTATTTCTGTGGTGTGTTTGTAATTCAGCTATTAGTGATTTAGCTTCTTTACTTTAAAAAATGCTTCATTAAAATTTTCTACACCATCCACTTCAGAGCTCCATTCCTCTACTTGCTACATGTATTGAGGTGATGATGAGGTGGGGGAGAGTTGAGGGGTGGGATTGCTATTGCCATTTATCCTAAAGGACTGTTTTAGAAAGATACTGGAGAGTGCCTACTGTTTTAATGTTGTAGCACTAGCTATATTCCGGAGCTTAAATGTTAATGGTTTTAATCTGCCTCCATATTCATACTATTAGGCACCTACCTATATTACTTAGGGCTTACAAAATATCAGACACTTGCTAACAAAGGGAAGTCACGATGCCTTTCCTTAAAGGCCTTACAATCAAATATGAGGAGACAGCCGAAAAACGAGTACAAGGAAGAGGTTATAGACACCACGGTAGCAGCCTGTGCCAGAATAACAGGGGACAAAGGCAGGAGTAGACAATTGTAATAGGGTAAGTTGACGAAACTCAATAGAGGTGACCCTTGAGCTCATGAAAAGTGGCTTGTTAAGGGGAAGGTGATAAGTAAGTTATGCCACTTTTGTATTGGTGGATCAATCACAAATTTATATAAAAAACTCCTGGAAGCCAAAACCTTTCTCCTAAAATACAGATCCATCTATCCAACTGATTTACTTGACAAATCTATCATGCTTGACATGCTCAAATACAACTTATGATCTTTCCTTACAAACCTGGTCTTCTTTACTGTAGATATTCCATCCTATGTCTCAAGTCAGAAATCTAATCTTGACTCCTCCATTATTAAACCACTGCCAAGTATTTTCCTGTTAATTTTACCCCCAAAATATCTTTCAAATAAGTTGAAGTTCTTCAATTTTCTTCTTGACGACTACCATAATTCAAATTATGATCATCAACCACATTTACTATTACATTACTTCAGTAATTAGATGAATGCCTATCATATACTAAATGCTTAATAAATACATTTAAATGAATATATTATTGACTGAACTACATTCCTTTCATTCCCTTTCCTTACTCTCTCATTCACTTTTCCAGAGGGAAGGCATAGTGATCTAGTCAGCTCTTTAATGTGATTTTCCTATTTAAAATCCTTCATTGGCTTCTCACCTCTTAAAGAAAAGTCGTAATAGTAGGACTTAGAAGGTCCTACATAAATGTATTGGTTAGTGCTCCATCTTGTACAAAATAAGATAAGAAATGTGAGTTTGTGCACCTGTAATTTACTATTACTGTATAGCATGTTCACTGTGATGACACCTCCAGATTGAATAATTGAAAACTCTGGGTGTCATGTACTTCAATGGATGCCAGTGGAGAGAGAAGAATGAGGGAAAGTGGTAATCTCATGGGCACATATTTTTGAAAATAAAATTTTAATCACAATTATTTTTCAAACACAAAGTATAGAGAATATGTAACAAACTCCATGTACTTATTACATAGATCAGTTATCAATATTTTGCATTCTAAATGTTTAGTTGAAGTATTTTAGAGGCAATCCTAAATCTCATGTCACTTAATTTCAACATATTTAATTATACCTTTTAAAAGGTATACTTTTAAAAAGTGCATACTGCAATTGTCATTATCATAACTAACATAAATAGCAAGAATTCCTTTGTATTATCTGATATGAAAGCCATATTCAAAACTGTTCATTTGTCCCAAAAAACTATCTTTTATACACATGGGTTGTTAGAATCAGGATCCAAACAAGGTCCACACAGTGTGTTTGGTTATGTCTTCTAAGTCTCTTAATCTGAACTATTCCTTTGTCAGGTTTTTTTTTAAAATTTCATCCCATTGACTTCAAGAAATTGGGTCAGGTGTTCTATAGAATGTCCTATATTATATATGTTTCTGTTTGATCCTCTGTGGTTTCATTTAACTTCTCTTACCAGCAACACAAATTTTCTATCAGCTGTCAGCTCAAAAGGTTTTAATAGGTTCAGATTTAATATCTTTTTGTATCTCCCTTTACCAAAAACTACATAAGTGATGCTGTATATTTCATATAGCACCACAAATCAGGCATACAATACCTGGTGGTCTACCCCTTATTGATGCTAAAATAGATATGGATTCGATTAGTGTCTTAGTCCATTCAGGCTGCTATAACAACATACCATAGATTGTGTAACTTATAAACAACAGAAATCTATTTCTCACAGTTCAACACGGGGAAGTCCAAGATCAAGGTATTAGCAGATTCAGTGTCTGGTGAGGTTCCACTCTCTGATTCATAGATGACACCTTCTAGCTGAGTCCTCACATGATGGAAGGGGCAAACAAGCTCCTCCAGCACTAATCCCATTCATAAGGGCTTCATCCTCATGACCTAATCATCTCCCAAAGGCCCCTACCTCTTAATATCATCACCTTGAGGGTTGGGATTTCAACATATGAATTTTTAGGTGACACAGACTTTCCGATCATAGCAGGTGGTGACAAATGGATCCCTCTACTATAGAATTACCAATCAGTCTTTTACCCAATAGCTTCATTCTCTGGTGATCTTTGTCCAAATTAGGTTTCTTAGGGGTTACAAAATGGTGATTTTTCTAATTCTATCAATTCTCTCATATTTATTTGCTGGAATTTCTTTTCAAGAAAAACTTTCTTTTATCATTCAAGGCTTTTGGTTTGCCCTAAAATATAGTTCATATAGAAAGCTGCATTATTTTTAATTATTTTCCTCTGATAATAGAAACTGGTGCAGGGCCTATTTCTTTTTCTTTATAGCTTTATTTCATGAACCATAAATTTCACTCCTTTAAAGTGCATAGTTCAGTGGTGTTTAGTACATTCGAAATTGTGCAATCTATCATCATAGTAGAATTTTATAACATTTTCAACACCCACCCTCCCAAAAAGCCCACCCATTAACAGTCACCCCCTACTACCTCTACTCCTCAGCCTTAAGCAACTGATAATCTGATTTTTGTCTCTATGGACTTGCTTATTCTGAATATCTCACATAAATGGGATCATGTAATATTCCATTTTGTGATTCTCTTCTTTCACTTAGCTCAACATTTTCAAGGTTTATTTACTTCAAAGCATGCATCAATACTCCATCATTTTGATTGCTGAACAATATTCCATTATACAGAAATAGCATATTGTGTTTATCCATTCTTCAGTTGATGGACATTAGGTTATTTCCATTTGGGAGCTATTATGGATAATATTGCTATGAATAGTTGTTGATGAGTTTTATACTGACTTATGTTTTCATTTTTCTTGGGTAGATATCTGGAATGGAATTGCTGGGTCACATATTAGATGTGTGTTTATCCTTTCAAGGAAGTACAAACTGTTTTCCAAATTGCACCATTTTACATTCCTACCAGTGACATATAAGTAAGTCTTCCAATTTCTCCATATATTCATCATGGATATATGAATACATTCATTAATACTGACTTTCTTATTTTGCCATCATAGTGAGCGTGAAGTAGACTTTCACTATGCTTTTGATTTTCATTTCCCTAAAGACTAAAGATACTGAGTGTCTTTTCATATGCTTATTGGACACATACATATATGTCCAAATATATATATATTATACATATATATTATATATATTATATATTATATATAATATATATAATATATTTATATACATAAATATATATACATATATACATATATACACATATATAGGCAAAGAATATATATATACACATATATGGGCAAAGAATATAAAATATATATATATATACATATATATAGGCAAAGAATGAGGATAGTCCTTTCTCTGATTATATATGTCCTTTCTCTGACATATATATATATGACATATATAATATATATATGACATATATATATACACACACACACACACATATAATCAGAGAAAGGACTATCCTCATTCTTTGCCTATTTTTAAATTAGGTTGCCTTTTATTATAAATGTTCTTATATATTGAACACAAGGCCATTATCAGAAATATAACTTGCAGATATTTTTTCTCCCAATCCGTGGGTTGTCTTTTAACTTTCTTGATGGGTGCCCTGTGAAGCATGAAGTTTTAAATTTTAGTGAAGTACAACTTATTTATTTATTTATTTATTTATTTGTGCTTTTTTTGTCTCATAGTCAAGAAACCATTGCCTCATCTGATATCATAAGGATTTACTCTTATGTTTTATTCTAGAAATTTAATAGTTTTCACCCTTATGGTTATGCATATAATGCATCTTGAGCCAATTTTTGTGTATGTAATTTTGGAAGGGATCCAAATTCATTCTTTAGGCATGTGGATACACAGTTGTCCCAGGATCATTTGATGAAAAGGTGATTCTTCTCCTACCAATTTTTGTGGCAACCTTATAAAAATTAATTGATCATAATGTGAGAGTTTGTTTCTGGGCTCTTAATCCCATTCCATTTATTGATATGACTATCTTTATGCAAATATCACAGTCTTGATTACAATGCTGCTATAAAGACACATGCACACGTATGTTTATTGCGGCATTATTCACAATAGCAAAGACTTGGAACCAACCCAAATGTCCAACAATGATAGACTGGATTAAGAAAATGTGGCACATATACACCATGGAATACTATGCAGCCATAAAAAATGATGAGTTCATATCCTTTGTAGGGACATGGATGAAATTGGAAATCATCATTCTCAGTAAACTATCGCAAGAACAAAAAACCAAACACCGCATATTCTCACTCATAGGTGGGAACAGAACAATGAGAACACATGGACACGGGAAGGGGAACATCACACTCTGGGGACTGTTGTGGGTTGGGGGCGGGGGGAGGGATAGCACTGGGAGATATACCTAATGCTAGATGACGAGTTAGTGGGTGCAGCGCACCAGCATGCACATGTATACATATGTAACTAACCTGCACATTGTGCACATGTACCCTAAAACTTAAAGTATAATAATAATAAATGAAAAAAAAAGTTTTAAATCAAGAATCCTCCAATTCAAATGGGTGTTTCAACTTCGTTCTTCTTTTTCAAGATTGTTCTATTTTTGGTCCCTTGTATTTCCATATGAACTTTAGAATCAGCTTATGAATTTCTAGAAAAAAAAACTTAGATTTTATATGGATTGCATTGAATCTGTAGATCAGGTTGGAGAGACCACCATCTTGGTGGCAATGCTGATCTGTAAACATGAGATGTTTTCAATTAATTAGATCTTATTTAATTTATTTCAACAGTATTTTGTACTTTCAGTACACAAGTATTGTACTTATATTGTTAGAATTATTCTTTTAAAAACATTCATTCTTTGTGCTATTTTAAATGGAATCAGTTCCTTAATTTTGTTGTTTAATTACTAATTACTGATATATAGAAATACAATTGGATTTGTATATTAATTTACCTTGTATCCTGGCTGAATTCATTTAACAGTAGGATTTTCTTTTTATGAGATTTTATCATCTGCAAATAGAAATAGTTTTACTTCTTCCTTCTCCATCTGGATATCTAGATGCTTTTTTTTTTTCTAATTATCCTGGCTAGAACATCAAGTGCAATGTTGAATGGTAGCAGTGAGAATATCTATCCTAAAGACATTTCTGATCTTAGGGGAAAAGTAATAATTCCTTCTCCATTAAATATTATGTTAACTATGGGATTTTCATAGATTGGCTTTATCAGGTTGAAGAATTCCCTTACATTCTCAGTTTGTTGAGGGCTTTTGTCATGAAACTGTGTTGGATTTTGTCACATAATTTTTCTGCATTGAGATAATCATGTGGTTTTTTTCTTTATTAATATTGTATAACGCATTAATTGACTTTCAGAAGTTAAATCAATCTTGTTTCATGGGTTAAATCTCACTTGATCATGGGGTGTAATCTTTTTTACAAGCCACCGGATTCAACTTTTTAGTATTTTGTTGAGGATTTTTTGCTTCTATATTCACAAGGAATATTTGTCTGTAGTTTTGTTTTGTTTTTTTTTTCTTTATATCTGTCTGGTGTTGGTAATACTGGCCTCACAGAATGAGTGGGAGAAATATCCTCTCCTCTTCTACTCTTGACTTCAAAAGATAACTACAAAGCAGAAGTAATCAAAGCAATGTGATACTGGCATGAGGATAGACAGAGATAAATTGAGTAAAAATTAGTTAGATAAGAATTGGCATTAATTCTTCTTTAAATGTCTGATAGAATCCAACAATGAAGCTTTCTGGACCTGGGATTTTCCTTATGAGAAGGGTTTTAACTAGTAGTTTGATCTCTCTACTTGTTTAGGGCTATTCAGATTTTACATATTGTTGGGGGGTCAGTTTCAATAGTTCATGTGTTTCTGGGGATCTGTCCATTTTATTGAAGTTATCTAATTTGATGGCATACAGTTGCTTATAGTATTCTTTTATTATTCTTGCATCTATAAGGTCAATAACAATAGCCCCCCTTTTATTCTTGAATTTAGTAATTTGAGTCTTTTTTTCTTTGTCTGTCTAACTAAAGATTGGTAGCTTTTGTTGATTTTTTTAAAAACCAACTTGTGGGTTTTGTTGAATTTCAATATATTGTTTTCTATTATTTATCTCATTTACTGTATTTCTTCTCTGACATTCATTATTTCCTTTCTTCTTCTTGCTTTGAGTATAGTTTGCTCTTCTACTTCTGGATTCATAAGGTAGAAAATTAGGTTGTTGCCTTGAAATCTTTTTAAATGTAGGCATCTGTGGTTATATAAATTTTCCTCTAAGCACTGCTTTAAGTTTCAGTATGTTGTATTTTTATTTCCATTTGTCTCAAAGTATTTTCTAATTGTACTTGTAATTTCTTCTTTGATTCATTGGCTATTTAGGAGGCTGTTATTTATTTTCCACATAATATGAATCTCCCAAATTTTCCTGATGTTGATTTCTAATTTAATTACATTTTGGTCAAATAACATATTTTGTCTGATTTTGATCCTTGTACATTTATTGAGGTTTATTTTCTGGCCTAGCATTTGGTCTATGCTGAAGAATGTTCCATATGCACTTGAGAAGTATGTGTATTCTGCTGCTGTTGGCTGCTTTGCTCTCTAGATGTCTATTAAAGTCTAGGTGGTTTAAGTGTTTAGGTTCTCTATTTCCTTGTTGATCTTCTCCCTAGCTGTCTACCCACTACTGAAAGTGGGAAATTGAAGGCTCCAAATATGATTGTTCAGTTGTCTATTTCTCCCTTCAATTTTGTCAGTTTTTTTTTTTTTCACATAGTTTGGGAGTCCATTAGTAGGTTAATGTATCTTATAGATATTCTTTTTGGCAAAATATTAACTATTAGCTTGTTTTACAAATTTGAAATCAATGACTGAAATTCCTGTAAGTGATTCTATTCACACTTTTGGTTGGGCAAAAATAAACGGAGATACATAAGCAAGAAGGTTGAAGATAAAGCAATACATAAAGCTATAGCTAGCCAGTGGTGATTTGTTAATCTCTATCAACTGTAACCAAGCTTTGCAACCGTAAACAGAACTACCATCATCATATAATGTTTTTGAAGGTTGCAACCTCAGTAGAAGAATGGACTAGATTAAAATCTGTCCACGGGGAAAAGGAAATGACATAGATACATGTCTGACATGACCTGAATACTAGGAAGATTTTTTTTTCATTGAGTACATATACATAACCTAAGTTTTTCCCTCATGAGTTTAATATTAAAATTTATACTAACTCGATGGTTCCAGAAACTCCAGACTCAGAAATTAATTTATATTTGTTCCATGCAAGGAGTGTCCCAGAAGCCTGGAAAGAAGCCAGGGCAAATCTTTGCCAAGGGATTTATAAACTCAGAATCCAAAATTTACACAATGCTCCAGGAAAAAGGCCACCATCAGTGAATGCAGAACACTGAGGACTTACTCTCAAGAACTTCAAATTTTAAATATATATGAGACATAATGGGAATTAATGAAATTTTAAGGAATATGATTTGAACCAAAATATAAACAAATATTTGGGAGTTGTCGCTCACACCTGTAATCCCAGCACCTTGGGAGGCTGAGGTGGGAGGACTGCTTAGGCTAGGAGTTAGACACCAGCCTGGGCAATAAAGTGAGGCCCTGTTTCCAAAAAATAAAAACATAAAAACATAGCTGGGCACAGTGGCACATGCCTGTAGTCCTAGCTATTCAGCAGGCTGAGATGTAATGCTCATATGAGCCCAGGAATTTAAGGCTAGTGAGCTGCAATTGTTTCACTGCACTCCAGTCTGGGCTACAGAGTAAAACCCTGCCTCCAAAAAATATATACGCATATATAAATAAATAATAAAATACTATTAAAATATCAGGCAATGTGAAATAATTAGATTTCTGGAGATTAAAAATATAATGATTGAAATTATAAACTTCCAGTTGATTTAATAGCAAAATAGATACTGTTGAGGAGAAATGAGCAAGCCATAAAAAAGTGTTGAAAAAATTAGCCAGAAGGTAGAGCAGATGGAAGATATGAGAGAGAAAATAGGAAGAAAAGAATGAGAGGTTTCAATATAAACCTAACGGAAGCATTTTTTTAAAAAGAATATAATGGAAAAGATAAAATATTCTAAAAAATAGTGGATAAGAATTTTTAAGAACATAAAGATATATAGAAATTCAAGATTCTCAAATCCCAAATAAGATAAATAAAAATGGATACACATCTAAACACTGCTTACTAAAGCTGTGGGGAACCAAAGACCAAGAGATTTTAAAAGGATTAAGGGAGAACAATATAGTTACAACAAAAACGGCGGCAATGATAGACCCATATTAATATTATTAACCAAGAGAAAATGAGTGTAGACCAAGAATTAAATGTCCAGCTTAAGTATCATTCAAGACCAAATGAGAATAGAGATAATTTTAGAAAATAAAAAATGAGAATTACTTATTATCAACAGCTGCTTAAAATTTTTTCTGAAAGATATATTTCTGGAAAAAGGATTCCAAGAGGAAAGTCTGAGATGCAAGAAGAATTGGTAAGAATGAGCAAAGAAAATGGAAACAACAAAACAAAAACCTCTAAACAAATGTTGCATGGATAAAACAATAAGCAGGGTGGATCTAAAAACACTGAACAGTAGTTTCCAAATTAAGAGGCAGGATTTCACATGCATTTCTTCATTGTGTTCTCATAGTCAGTATTGCTCTTAGCATGTCCAATGCCATACTTACTTCAATTTATTTAAACATAATGTCTTTTTATTCATTTTGTTTTCTTTTTGTGAGTTTTTTGGATAATTTAACATATCTTGGTTATCTTACTGCATTTATTTTGATGAGTACATTGAAAGCCTATATAATTGGCTCATATCTTAAATGTCTGAAAATTTTTCTTTCATTATTTCTTTGATAATCTTCTCTTCATTTTTTGAATCTTCATGTTTTGAAACTGTAATAATGCAGTTGTTCTTCAGATTAATCCTCTAATTTTCTTATATTTTGTTCCCAATTTTTAAAAATCTGTTGTGTACTTCATCATTTTCTTTCAGAGACATTTATCTTGCAAAAGTATTATTTTAATGCTCATTATATTATTGATTTCCAAGCAATGTTTGGGTTCTCTGTTGTACTGCGCCTAATTTATGTACCTCCTTAGGTTTGCGCAGTCACACCTGCCTATGGAGAGAGTCCTGGCAGGTCATCTCACTTTCTCTTCTGATATAACCAGATGTCTCGATTTCCCTGGGGGTGAGGATCAGTCTCTATGGCCTCCAGGGTGCTTGCCACAGTAGGAATTCTGACAGGTGGATGCCCAAGTCCTGCTCAACTAAAATCCAATGCCACTACTTGAAAACTGGCGTGAAGGGCAAAGGATCTAGCTTCCACAGTAGCAATTACATCACACACTCTGAAGAGTTAAAAGATTTACTATAGTTTTGTATATCTAATCTCTTCATCTTGGGGAAATATTAATTTGAATATTTTTTACCTAGTTATTCATTAACTTGTATCAGAAAAAGGGACTGAAATGCTTCTAGAGAATTTGTTTGATAAGCAGTTACACTGCCATGAGGTCATATCACTCACTCCAGACAAGCTTATTTTGTTTTTTATTGGCCTATAATTTTACTGATGTGAAAAACATCTTAGAAGGAGACTCCACCAAATAAAACCTAGCTAAGGGAATAGGAAGAACACATGTCCACAAATAGATATCTAAAACTTCCCTACTGAAATCTAAGAATTCAAAGGAGGCCAATTCAAATGGGAAAGATGTCATGAAGTAAAACATATAAACATATCTATAGCTAACATTTGTTTTGATCACACGTTCCTCTAGGAAACACATGGCAACTAGGAAGAAAATCCTATTTTCGTTGCCAGCAGTTAAAAGGCTAACCTGCCTTAGAATCCAAAGTATTAGGGGTGTTGTGTGTGTTTTAAAACTAAGAAGTGCCACTTTACATGGTAGAGATTTACTTTTACAGTAATAACTGTTTCTATTACAGAAATATCATTTGCTGAATATGGCTTTCAGGCAAAACACCGGTATGTGGATTAATAGACTCAGGTCCAATTAGAGTGCTGCTCTTTCGAGAATGATTTACATATGAGCATGCCGGATTAACTGTTTTATTGAAGCATAGTTTGTTTTATATGACAAAGTTTGGGAGATATAAAAGTATAAACAGGAAGGAATCCCAAAGGGTTATGTGTTGCTTCTTTCTAACCACTGGGGAATTGCACAGCCCAACTGACATGTGGTTGTCTTTGCCAAAGAAAAAGAATGAATCTAATGTTATTCTAAGTAGCTCACTTCGATTAGCTACAACCATTTCTATCAGGAGACAGGAACATATTTTGGGAACAATAAAGTGCTATGCAAATGCTGGCTGTTATAATTAGTATTAAGACCTATTCTCTATTCCCAGAAGGGAAAATGACTAGACATTTTGCATCTTATAAAAATCCTTGTAACCCTGAAAACACTAATATGTTATTTCTTCAGCTTTCTCTATACAAATAAAAATCCAGTTTTACTTTTTCCCAATTAGCGTTACTTCTGAGTTGAATTTAATTCTCCCTGCTAGACAATGGCCAAATTTACCATGCCACAAATTTAAAACAAGTAGGCAATTAGCAAAAAATGACAAGATTTTTGTTAAATTTCTATATTTTTAGTTTTTTAACAGATAAAGGTCAACATGTCAATCATGTCTAATATTTGCATTTTAATTTTTTTACATTAAATTATGAATATTTTTAACATATAGAAAATCGAAAAATACTACAAAAAATACCTGCATCATCAGGTGGTCAATTTAATTCTACAATTATTAGCTTAATTGAATTGTTATAGTTGTCCCCCAAATGTCTATCCATAATCTTTAGGTAATTATTTTAATTAGTTTTTAGCTTATCTCTCCATTTGTTTTGAAAAATAAGTACAGGTATACATATACATACATATATTTTATATAAGAAAATTTTCTATATGATAAATGTTCTTACCATAATTTTAAAAAAAGAAAAAAAATACTACTAGACACTGATATGCAGAAATTACCAGGACACAATTTTAAGCAAACAGAACAAGCATACATTATACAGCTCTACATCTTGTTTTGTTTGCTTAATATTGTATCCCAGTGATTTTTGCATATCAGTATAGAGTAGGTCATTATTGTTCTTTTAAAAAAATTATTGGAAGAACATTTAACATGAGGTTTACCCTCTTGACAAATTTTTAAGTGTACAATATGTTGTTATTGACTATAGGTACAGTGGATCTCTAGAGCTTATTTGTATTGCTTGACTAAAACTTTATTCCTATTGATTAGTGACTCCTCATTTATCTCTCCCACTAGCCTCTGGAACTACCATTCCACTCTTTGATTCTCTTGAATCTGACTACTTTACATACGTAATGTAAGTGTAACCATGCAGTATCTGTCTTTCCGTTACTGGTTTATTTCTCTCAGCATAATATCTTCAAGGTCTATTCATGTTGTCACATATTGTAGAATTTTCTTCTTTTGTAAGGTTGAATAATGTATATACATTACATTTTCTTTACTCATCTGTTGATGGACATTTAGGTTGTTTCCACATCTTGGCTATTGTGAATCATGATGCAATGAACATAAGAATGCTCATATCTTGGAGACACTGATTTCAATTCTTTTGGTTATATACCTAGAAATAGGATTGCTGAATCATGTAGTAGTTCTATTTTTAATTTTTTCAGGAACCTCCATGCCATTTTCCATGGTGTCTATACCAATTGGCATTTCCACCAACAATGTGCAAGTGTTCCAGTTTCTCCACATCCTCCCCAACACTTAACAACTTTTTCTTTTTTTAATGATAGCCATATTGACAGGAGTGAGGTGATCTTTCACTGTGGTTGTGAGTTGCATTTCCCTGATGATTAGTGATGTTGAACATTTTAAAATATACCTATTGGCAATTGGTATAGTTTGACTCTGTGTCCCCACCCAAATCGAATCTCGAATTGTAATCCCCAGGTGTCAAGGGAGAGATCTCATGGGAGGTGATTGGATCATGGGGGTGATTTCCCCCATTGCTGTGCTCATAATATGAGTGAGATCTCATGAGATCTGATAGTTCAAAAGTGGCACTTCCCCTTCAGTCTCTCTCTCGCTGCCATGTAAGATGTGCCTTGCTTCCCCTTTGCCTTCTGCCATGATTGTAAGTTTCCTGAGGTTTCCCAGGCCATACAGAACTGTGAGTCAATTAAACCTCCTTTATTAATTACTCAGTCTCAGGCTGTTCTTTATAGCAGTGTGAAAATGGACTAATACAACAATTTTTTAGTCTTTTTTGGAGAAATGTCTAGTAAAGTTTTTAGCCCATTTTTAAATCCAGTTATTAGGGGTTTTTTTTCTTTTTCTTATTTTGCTATTGAGTTGTGGCAGTTCCTTATACATTTCAGAGATTAACCCCTTATCAGATATATGGTTTGCAAATATTTTCTCCCATTTCATAGGTTGCCTTTTCACTCCCGTGATTGTTTCCTTCATTGTGCAGAGCTTTTTAGTTTAATGCAGTCCTATTTGTTTATTTTTGTTGCTTGTACTTTTTGTGTCGTACCTATGATATTATTGCCAAGATAATGTCACAAAGGTTTTCCCTTATGTTTTCTTCTAGAAGTTTACAGTTTTAGGTCTTACATTGATTTTTGTGTATGGTGTAAGAAAAATAGGCACAATTTCATTGTTTTGAATATGGTTATCCAGTTTTCCCAACACCTTTATTGAAGGTGTTGTGTATTCTTGGTGCCCTTATTGAAGATTAGTTGACCATGTATGGGTATAATTACTTCTGGGCTCTCAGTTCTGCTCCATTTGTTTATACGTCTTTGTAACAGTACCATCCTATTTTGATGCTTTGTAATATATTTTGAAGTCAGAAAGAATGATACCTCTAGATTTCTTTCTCAAGATTGATTGTTTATTTGTGGTCTTTTGTAGTTTCATATGAATTATAGAATTTTTTTCTTTTTCTGTGAAAAATGTCATTGGGATTTTGATAGAGATACATTGAATCCGTAGGTCACTTTGCTAGTATAGACATGTTAACAATAAATATTATATCTTCCAATCCATGAACACAGGATGTGTTTCTACTTTATGTGTGTGTCTTGTTTCTTTCATCAATGATCTATAGTTTTTCAGTATGTTAGTCTTTCACCTCCTTAACTAAGCTTTATTCTTTGTGATGTTATTGTAAACAGAATTGTTTTCTTAATGTACTTTCTGGATAGTTTATTATTGCATTGTTTTTTGACAGATTAATGTTCCAGTGTGTAGATGTACTATACTTTATTATTATTTTTTTTGAGACAGGGTCTAGCTATGTTGCCCAGGCTACAGTGCAGAGGCACACTCATGGCTCACTGCAGCCTCAAACTCCAGGGCTCAAGTGATCCTCCTGACTCATTCTCCTGAGCAGCTGGGACTACAGGCATACATCACCATGCATGGCTAGTTTTTGTTGTTGTTGTTTTCTTTTTATTTTTGTTTGTTTTTAGTAGAGACAAGGTCTCACTATGTTGCCCAGGCTGGGCTTGAACTACTTGGCTTAAGTGATCTTCCTGCCTCAGCCTCCCAAAGTTCTGGGATTACAAGCATGAGCAACCGTGCCTGGTCCCATATTTTATTCTTGATGGATATTTGGCTTATTTCCAATCTTTTGCTGTTACAAATAATGACATAGTAAATAAACTTGTGCATATGTAGTTTCATACTTATGAATAGAGTAACATTCATAAATATTCTCAAGGCTCTTGTCTCTGAGTCATATGGTGCCTCCTTCCATTCCTTCAGGTCTTTTCTCAAACATCATCCTCTTAGTGAGGTCTTTTCACACCACCCTACTTAAAATAATGACTCCTCCCTAGCAGGTTTTGGTTCCCACTGGAATTAACATCCATGAGAACTACAGATAATACAACAAACAATAGCTTCATAAATACGTATTAATTAGACGAAGTGGAAGAATAGGGAACACAGGAAGAGAGACACAAGGCCAGGAGGAAGGGAGGTTGGGAGGAAGGGAGAGAGTGAAGAAAAGATAAGAAACAAAACAAGAAAAAAAGAGTGATAGAAGGAGGGTTATAGAGCTCTGCCTCAAATAGCAACAAAAATGTAAATATAAAAGACACTAAAAATAGATGAAAGGCATTTGTAATTACATTTTTTAAAAGTACCATTTCTTTGCCCTCACCCTGTTCTTCAAAAATGGGCAACTTCTAGTAACGATTAAGAGCACAGACTGTGGAGTCAGATTGTATGGGCCTGAATCCTGCCATCTTCATGCTCTGAATGCAACTTCTGGCAGGCTGCTTAATTACCCTGTGTCTCAGTTTCCTCATTTGTAAGACAGAAATAATAGCTTATTTTACCTCATGGGGTTACTTATAAATTAATATATGCAAAGTGCTTAGCACAGTGCCTAAATCGTAGCAAGTTCTCTTCAATAAATTCTAATTGTTATCCTTTTTGAGAGAGTATATGAAAAGGCTAGAATTTATGTAGAAAAACACCCTGTCATTTTAAGGGTGGACACACACACATGCACACACATACACACACAACAAATATTTCATAATTTAATGAAATACAATTGCAGACTCTGGATTGGCGGTAGAAAAGCATTATCAATACTTTTGTTGCTTATGTTTTTTAACTTTAGAAGCTAAAAATCTCTACTACTCAATTCTCTGGCCTCCACTGCTTATGATGTCATGTAACACTATTATGGTCAATGAGAGAAGAGAATGTGAGTAGGTTAGAGTCCCTGGGACATCAGGAATAGGTTTTTTTTTTTTGTTTGGGTTTTTGTTTTTTCTTTTTGCTTCTTCCTACATCCTTCTGCTTAGAACATGGACCTTAAATTATAATGGTACGTGAGCTATCTTAAGGCGAGAAGCTTAAAAACAAAGCCTTAAAAGTTAAAGGTGAAAGAGTGGAAAATAGGGACAATGTGAGTGCCTTATGGCACCATGGAGTTATGACACTAATTCTAGATTGTCTACATGCAGACTTCACGTGGCATGAGATACATTCATATATTTTAAGAGCTGCCTTTCTGGGTTCCACTATTTCCAGCCACATACATTCCTAACCAATATAAATAGAAATCAAAATAAAAATCTTAACATAATGTTTTTGTTTTAAATTCAATTTTTGATAACTTGTAGTTGAGAATATGAGAGAATATTCAGAAAAACGAATGACAGGTTAATACCACCAGCCCTTCTGTATATTAAAATACATTATGAGGCAAAAATAACTAAATTAATATATCATTGAGTGACAACTAAATGATAGATTAATGGCATAATATTAAAGTCAATAAATATTAAAAAGTTTAACATGATAAATTAGGCATGGCCAAATGATGGTGAAGGAAAGAAGCACTCAATAATTTTTAACATTATTAATGGAAAAGAAATTAGGTTTATCCACAAATCTCATGTAAAGCTGTATAGACTAATTCTTATGACAGACTATGTCTACAGAAGGAAACCAGAGTGCCCTGTCATATGCTATTGCTGTATACTTTGCTGTAGTACTTTTCACATCTATTAAAAGGGGTGACTTGCTTGTTTTTTATCAGCAATTCCTAAAAGAGTGTCTGTGTGCTCAATACATTCACAATAAATAATTTAACGCATATCTCTTTAGATCTTTCTAGCTGTGCTAAATTTAGATGAATAAGATAGGCCCACCCTCAAAAACCTTACAACCAGGAGAAGGGATACGATGATGTAAGTCCCCCCAAAAAGATAATACAAGTAGAATGTTACAGATGTCTAAGGCAGATGCAAAGCAAATATTCTATGAATTCACAGTATTCAAATTAATTCAAGAAGACATAGGGAAACATTTATGGTTTTGCCAAATAAGAAAATAAATATAACTTTTAAATTCATATATATTATTTAGAATGGTCTTTATATTTTAGTGGCTGACAGACTTTGAGAATCCAGTCCCTACCAGTAAACACTTCTAAAGAGAGAGAGAGGCAATCATTTTTTCACACAATTTCAGGAGATTCAGAATTTCCCTGATATTTGACCATAAACATTTAGTTAAGGACCATATATGTTTGATCCAGATATTTGTAGTCCAGTTTTTTAATCAATATTTATGTGATAAATAAGTTGATTGTGTCACTATATAGACTAGCAAACATCTCATGGAAATATATTTACCTTTGCTGTGAAGATGACCAGAACAATGCTGCAGATTCAAAGTACAATGAAAGTATGATTTAAAATGCAGGTATCAAACATTACATTTCAATGGTTAGGTAGATATTTTGCTTACAAAATGAGTTAAGAAAGTATAATAATTTTAGAGTAATGAATCTGTTTCTGAATGATTATTTTTCAGCACTGCTAATGAAAATGACAACTTTCCCAACAAATACTCCATGAAAACTTAGCACAATTTGAAGATTCCTTTTATAAAGGTTGATTAGATTCTAGGATATTGAGAGCATTTTGTCCATGCAACTTTAAACATTAATTATATTTTTAACACAAAACTATAATGTTCAATTGGATGATGTGGAAATAGAACTTTTTATAGGGAAATGTTGATACACGGATATAAGTTGTAATTTTTCATGACAACTCTATGGATAATTTGGTCTGAATTATAATATTTTTCTTGCAGTTGTTATTGCCATTGACAGAGGTGAAAAAAGAATAGAAATAATACATTCTTGAAATTCAGAACTTGGTGAATTCCATTAAGGCACAAAACAATATTAAGGTTCTTGGGTTCCTCTTTTCCACTGGCTCTCATTTTTCTATATGCTCAATAACAGGACAACACTAGATCCTATTGTGGGGATCTAGAAAAATAGATATTCCTTTTGATCTTCTACCCATACCTTTGTAGAAATTCAATAAAGAAGAATCAGTGATGGGGGCCTAAGGTCACAAAATATATAAGGGAGTTTATGTTCATGTGAGTTTAGAAAAAAATAAGTGTACCTCAGAAATTAATATTCACAGGTTATAAACCATTTTGGTGGATATCTGTTGGTTCTGAAACTGTGTTTTCAAACATATATCTAATACTAACTCTAGGCCATGATCAATTATTTCTTCCCATGAAGGTGAAGGGGTTTGGCTTACAAAGGAATGAGACAGAATAAGAGAGGAGAGAATACTGACTTAATGACACTTATGTACATTCAATAAACAATGTTCCTTTTTTTGTGACATAATCATGTTGGGGATCAATATATTATAAACCAAAATTAGAAATTGTGTAACAATGCTTTACTAAACAAATGGAACGCTGTAGTTACTAGAAACTTAACTAGGAAGTCTGTAGTTGGAGTATCCTATGTCGTATAACTATTTAAAATAAATTATGCCTTTATTTTTATGGTGCTTCACAAATTGCAAAGCAGTTTCACAAAAAAGGTTTTATCTAAACCTCACAACTTTGGAGTAGTTCATTTCATTTCATAAATGAGGTTTTTCAATGCCTAGTAAATGACCAAACCAGGATGTTAATCAAGTTCTCTCAACTCTATCACATGTTATTTCCAATTCAGCATGGTACTTGCATTTTACAATACAGAAGATGTACTGGCTTTATATTTTTCACTTATAAAATAATTTATCGTAATCCTCAGATGTCATTCGTATTTAAAAGTGCATCACAAACATATCCAGCATAAGCATTTTTAAGTGAATGAAATATTTTGATTATCTTCAGTGTTTTATTTCTTAAGACTGAATTTAGCTGGTGTTCAATTCTCCTTAAGAGAGATATTTATAGATTGAAACTACCTTTCCAGATTGCTGATTTCTTTCCAAACAAAATTTCTTTTTACTTTTTTTCCTCTGGCACAAGTTCCTGCATGTAACAGCAGGAATACAAATTATGTCCAAAGCACTTACGTAGTTGGCAGAAGTATTTTCTCTTCTGCAATAAATTTATCAAACATTTTTCAAAACAGTAAATCCTTGAAAACAAGGGCTGAATTCCAAATAGGATCATCATAGTTATGCCATTTACAATGTTTTAGTTTAAAGGATCTTCAATTATCCATCGTAAAGATGCTGAGTTTGAGAGCAATAGCAATTTGCTATGGGCCTGAACTGGCAGACTAATTTTCAGCCTCAGCTACTCTATTTTTTTTTTCTTGAAACTTTAGGCCAATTTTTCACTATGGGAAATGCATTGCTAATTAGTGATCAGTTCCTGTATGAGTCTTTCACTCATCCTATGAATATGCCTGCCATTGCTGATAGTAGCATCATCATCAAATCCAGAGCATAATGGGACAGATGGAGGAAAAAGGAACAGCTTCGAGGATTCAGAAGGCAAAACTGAGTGCGTAAGACATCATTTATAATGTCCCTATGTGTGCAAATTCAATTAGAGGTAAAATATTGATTAGGTAGTTGATGTCACAGATAATACATTATGGAAAAGCAATTAAACATTTTCAATTTTTCATTTTTTAAATATTCACAACCATATAGCAGAATTAAAGAGTGAATTAGTTAGGAAGTAAATGGTGCTGATGAAGGAGAGAAATGAGTCAAGCACAGACAAACAACCAAATAAATATTTCTTTAATTATCAAGTATTAGCAAGCATTTATTAAGTGCTTAATATTTGCTAGGCACCCTGTCAAGCAAAATGGATAAAAAGATGGATACACAGAGTAAGACAGAATTTCTTCCCTTAAAGAACTCTCACCTCTTGGGAGCACTAAAGAGACACATGTTCTTCGATACACCTTGCAACATTGTTCAGATTCACTCAGGTATGTATCCAGATTTATGGAGACAGAACTGAGTAGATAGAGGCAACCCCAGCTGCCACGCCTTTATCAGACAAATCAACATAGAAAATCAATCAGTATAGTGGTGCAAATGGCCACTATCAAAGCATGGATTTAGTTAAGACCTCCCTAGACTCTAAATGTTTGACCTTTGACTTCTATTTCTAAACTCTGCTAGAAAATATTAACCAGATGGAAACTCACAGAAAAGTTTCTGGGCTCTTGACTCTCAAACAAGAGTACCCTGAGAGTTCAAACGTTATGTCTGAATAATCTTTACTAAAAACTTTGCAATACACAAGAGGTGGAGATATTATGAAAAGTTTCAATACATGAATACAGAGCTAGAAGACAATATCAGAAATGCTCTATAGGAAAGGTGGTGTTTATTTCTTGGAGTGTAAAATACAGAAGTCTAGCAGCTGGTGAAAGCTAAAGGAACAAAATTAAATCAGATATGGAACAAAAAGTACAGTTAGTGACCATAGATAGGACAGCGTTTGGAGTCTATAAATGAAAGAAAAGAATGTAGTCTCCAAGGGTGTACAAAAAGAATTGTACAGAAAATATGTATACAAATATAAGGCTTTTTATAGCAAATGTTTATGGAAAAATATGAATTAACCGGTTAATAACAAAGTGTCCTCTAGAGAAAGCAGAGAAATATATTTCGTAGAGAAATATATTTAACAGACACAGACACCAATCTGTATTCTATATAGCAAGCATAATTTTAAAGATCTAACAAACTGAAAGTATTTGCTAAAATTTCCCATTATGGAGAAGCAACAATTCAGGAAATGTATAAAACTGTTCCACCTTGAAACAGAAAATTATGTTTTGGAATAAAATGAGAGCTCATTCATTTAGGAGTCTCCTGTCTGGTAAATTTTCATGTCCAGAAGAGAAGAAAAATTAGGCCAAAAAAGAAAGGAAAAAAAAGAAGAAAGCTTCTAAGCAGCTGAATCAAATTGCATAAAGTCATAATATACACAACAAACAGTTCCTAGTAGAGTGCTTGAAGGGTTTGTTGATCACTGAATTAAGTCAAACAGGAACTTCCTAGGTCCTCATTCTACAGCCGCTTAGCCTTCATTTTAAACACTTTTCTTGGTTTGTTATTTGTTTTCTTAGCTCCCAAGACATTAGAGATGGAGATAAGTAAACACGCAAGAAGAACATCACACACTGGGGCCTGTCAGGGGATGGGGGGCTGGGGGAGGGATAGCATTAGGAGAAATACCTAATGTAAATTATAAGTTGATGGAGGCAGCAAACTAACATGGCACATGCATACCTATGTATCAAACCTGCACATTGTGCACATGTACCCTAGAACTTAAAGTATAATAAAAAAAAAAGAATAAGTAATAGCTGACCCTCAAAGACTAAAGAAAGGGATAGAAAATAAAATTTGAAAAGCCTCAAGAAAATTCAAAATCAGTCACTTAATGTTGAAATATGCTTCTGAAATAGCTCTGAATAGCTTCTGAAATGATGTGCAGGACAGGAATATTAAAGTCACAAACTTGTTTTATTCATCTATTATTTCAATAAATATTTATTGATCATCCATGTCAGTATTTTTCAACCCTTTTTAAATTTTCACCTCCTAAGGAGCATATATATATATATATATATATGCTCCAGATATATCTCTCTCCATATATATATATATCTTCATATATATATATATATATATTTATCTCCATATATGTAAATATATATATATCCCTTTCTCCTTAAACCCCTTCCTTCCTCTATCCTCTATTTTGATATTATCATGAAATTATAATACCACAGATATGCTGTTCTTATTTTTATGAACTTTGGCCCTTTGGAAGTTCACAAATCATTGTAATAGCCAAGATTTTTTCACTCTCTTAAGAACCAAGTTTGCTTCCTTGAAGAAAATATCATTCCCATTGAACATACGTGTTCTACCCTTAGCCAGGAACTGTCAGGCACAATGTATTTAATAGTGAGCAAATCAAAGTCTCTGACCCTGTGGGATTCATTTCTAGGAAGGGAGACAATTATAATAATATAGACATATAAACATGATATGGTGACAAATGCTAGGGTATAGTAGTGAGCCCATAATATTGAATATTACCACCAGTCAGGGAGGTAAGAAAAGGCTGTGTTGAGAAACTGACACTTGAAGAGAGATCTGAAGAATGAATAGAATAAACCAGTAAGGAAGAAGGAAGAGCATTCAACATAGAGCGGACATCACATATGAAGGTCCTGTGGCAAGAGGGAGCATGGGAAAAGCAAGAGACTTAGGAAGACCTGTATAGATAGAACACTGAGAATATCAGAGTGCTCTGTAAGGAGGCAAGGGGTTACAGGTCCTAGTAAGGACTTTAGTCTCTATTCTCAGAGCAAAGTGAAAAAATACATGTCTTTAAGCCAAAGCAGAATATATGACATGACCAGTGTCATGATCATCACACAGCACACAAACTGAATTATTTATTGATGAATTCCTTGAATTATAGCAGCTGTAATATTTTCAATGTTTTCTACTAAGATGCCTACTTTTCAAAAATCTGAGGTAGATGTTAGTTATCTAGATAATTAAATTCTAACAGTCTGTATTAGTCTGTTTTCACGCTGCTGATAAAGACATACCCAAGACTGGGTAATTTATGAAGAAAAACAGGTTTAATGGACTCACAGTCCCACATGGCTGGGGAGGCCTCATGATCATGGTGGAAGGCGAAAGGCACGTTTTACATGGTGGCAGGCAAGATAGAATGAGAGCCAAGTGAAGGCTGGGGAGGCCTCATGATCATGGTGGAAGGCGAAAGGCACGTTTTACATGGTGGCAGGCAAGATAGAATGAGAGCCAAGTGAAAGAGGTTTCCCCTTTTAAAGCCATCAGACTTCGTGAGACTTACTCACTACGATGAGAACAGTATGGGGGAAACCACCACCATGATTCAATTATCCCCCCCCAGGTCCCTCCCACAGCTCTTGGGAATTATGGAGGCTACAATTCAAGGTGGGATTTGGGTCCAGCTAAACCATATCACAGTCTAACAGTTAATTTTCAATTTAATTATTCTACACTGCATTCATAAATTGTAACATCATTTTGAAATTAATTTTTAAACAAATTTTTATGGATTTAAGGGTACAAGTGCAGTTGTGTTACATGATTATATTGAGTAGTGGTGAAAGCTGGGCTTTTAGTGTACATTGTCCACCCAAGTAGTATACAATGTATTCAACAGGTGATATTTCATCCCTCCCCCTGGTGCCCCACCATTTGGAGTCTCCAGTGCCTATTATTCCACTCAATGTCCATGTACCCATTGATTAGCTCCCACTTAAAAGTGGAAACGGATTTTTTTTTAATTTTCTGTTATTGAGTCATTTCACTAAGGACAGTGGCCTCCAGTTTCATCCATGCTGCTGCAAAAGACATGATGATTTCATTCTTTGTTATGCCTGAGTTGTATTACATAGTGTATATGTACCACATTTTTAATGCAATAATCTTTGGATGATGAACAGTGATGAACAGTCAGTTTGGAACAGTTGATGGACACTTAGGTTGATTTCATGGCTTTGCTATGGTGACTAGTGCTACAATAAACATATAAACACAGGATTTTTTATATAATTTATTTTCCTTTGGGTAGATCCCCAGTAGTGGGATTGCTGGATCAAAGGGTATTTCTATTTTTAGTTCTTTGAGATATCTCCATACAGTTTTGTTGTACTAATTTACATTCCCACCTACAGTGTATAAGCATTCCGTTTTCTCTATAGCCTCACCAACATCTGCTGTTTTTTGACTTTTTAATAACAGCCATTCTGACTGGTGGAAGATGGTGGTTCTTATTTGCATTTCTCTGATGATTAGTGATGTTTATCTTTTTTATATGTTTCTTGGTCATTTGTATTTCTCCTTTCATTTTGTACCCCATAAATTTATACAATTACAAATTGTCAATTTACAAAAAAATAATGCCAGGAAAACCAGGTATTTTTCTACTTAAAATTAAACCAACTTATTGTGACATATGGAGTAATAAAGAAAATGAACTATGAATGTATGAAATAGGTGATTATCATATCTAAAATGTGAAAAGTAAACTGGTTATAAAATAATTGACGAAGCATAAATATTGATAAGAGGCATAAGATATGTCATCCTGAAAGCTACAAGAGCTTCTCCTAAACTGATATACTACGCCATCTGAATTTAAATGAACAAAACTGTGGTGTTGTTTCTTTTACCTCTGAATGCCTTTTGTTCCTATCTCATAAGAAATACCCATTAGAAATCAGGCAATTTTAAGAAACAGCTTTAGCAGTCACTCAATCCCCATTCTCTGGTACTATAACAACAGGAGGTGAGTCTTAAAGAACTTGGAAATTTGTTTAAATTTAAGGTTCTAATAAGTTCCAAATATGTTTTTGATTATTATCCTCAGTATGTTTGTGTTTATGTATGTGTACACATATCATTGAATATTAGGTTATAAAAGGTAAAAAAAATTATCATTTGAGGCTTTTCTTTTTCTTTTTTTAGATAATACCATAGCAGAGAAACACAACTGCTGTTCTTTAAGAGCAGACATCTCCCCAGCTGATGCTCTCAGGTTCACCAGAAGTCTAGCAGCTGGTACATAATATGAAAGAAAAGGCAGGGAGGTCTAGACGTGTTTTTTTATGTCATTCAAGAAAAACCCCACCTTGCTTCAACCTAGCTGTTCAACATTTTGTGTACACATCGCAACCTTTAACAAAATTACTTTCTGCAAATACTTCTATTTTCCAAACCAGGTAAAGTTACATAAAATGATCAACAACTCTCCATAACACTCTTGAAGATGGTGGAAATACTGCCCCATGTCATTCTGGAAAATAAGGATGGGCTCCCTACCAGCAGAGGTCTTGGGCTACTTCCAAGGCCTTTGGAAATGATCCAGTGAGTGAGAAGCCAGATCAGAAAATATTTACTGAAGATGCACAAAAGGTCAGTCAAGATGGGGCCTCAGATGTTACAAATGACTCTAGGATGGGTGCAAGGAAGCATGTGTGAATTGACAGACTGAAAGGCTTAGCAGGGGTTGGACTGTGGCCCATGCCAGTCATCCTCTAGCCCAGGAATTCATGGCCCACACCAGAATGGCCTCCACTCAGATATTTTGGCACTCCCGATGGCTGCACGCTGAGTCATAGGATGTGGCAAATAGTCCAGCAATTATCAATCTGGCATTTCACTAAGTAGAAATCACGGGGCTGCTTTTGTTCTATTTTGTGAACGCCCAACTGGCAAACAACAAAACAAAGGATAGCAGAAAACTTTTTGAAGTTTCTTCACCAACTCCCTTTTTGAAGTCAGTTGGAAATTTGTGTGGTGACATAGGGTGTAACTGTTTTTATAAATAAAAGAGAAAGAATAGTGTGTGCAAACGCTTCTGAACAGCTCTGAATTCTGCCTAATGAGCTGGGATGCTGAAAATATTCCTGTTCTCCCTGGTGTTTCCTCCACCATTTATGAAGACCCTCCACACTCCCTCTCTAAAAGCAGCAAAAGCCTCGGTAGTGAAGCAGTAGCACAGAGAGGATAAGCAGGCAGCAGCAATAGCCTGTTATTGGTCTCTACCTCTCCTGCCAGCTGGCCTTATTCACACTGCATCCAGTAGCACAGCCTGGTAAAAGAATCAGTTCTTGGCCTGGCCCGGTGGCTCATGCCTGTAATCCCAGCACTTTGGCAGGCCAAGGCAGGTGGATCACGAGATCAGGAGTTCAAGACCAGTCTAGCCAGGATGGTGAAACCCCGTCTCTACTGAAAATACAAAAATTAGCCAGGCATGGCGGTGGGCAACTGTAATCCAAGCTATTTGGAGGGCTGAGGCAGAGAACTGCTTGAACCCGGGAGGCAGAGGTTGCAGTGAGCCGAGATTGCGCCACTCCACTCCAGCCTGGGCTACAGAGCAAGGCTCCATTTAAAACAAACAAACAAACAAACAAACAAACAAAAAACCCCACAGTTCTCACAGCCAAAAGGTCCCAAACTGCTCCCATTTGCACCCTAGCACTCCTTCAAACCACAATTTTAACTAATACTATTTATAGTACTATATTTATAGACCATATTTATATAGCAAACAAGGTGGCCTTAAATTATCAAAATAAGCTTTCCCTCTTGGACGGAGATTGTTCCACAAATATATATATACACACACCTGTGTGTGTGTGTGTGTGTGTATTTAAATATTTTTATATATTTTTTCATATTATATATCAATATATGATATATATTCTAATATAAATAACTAAAATTTATGTAATATTTTCATTTTGTAATTTATAAACCACTGGCTTGTCATGAAAAATTTGTATTTCTATATACTGGAATTCAAGATCAAGGATATTAACAGTAGCATTCACATTGTCACACTTTTTTTTTTAACAGGCAAATTGCTCTTGTACCTTTGCCTTATGAAGAGCTATTTTCAATGACATTTAGGCTAAAATTAGTAAAAAGTCAGACTTCTATCTTTATCTAATGATATCTGATGAAGATGAAATTTTGTGGCTTTAGGTGACTGTCTTAACAAAGCTATGTTAGTGCTGGCCAATAGTTAACATAGACAAAGGACCTATTCCTAACCCTTCAACAGGATAGATGTTATTGATTGATTTCACCTCACTGGATTTTAATTTTTATATTGGATATGTATAATATTGTGGTGAACAAATGAGCAAAACTCTTTTCTGTTGCTGTTTTAAATTCTAGAAAAGAAAAAGAAATAAAATTAATAATCTTCTTGTGTTTCTAAAAGCTAAGAGTTGTCTTCTTTGTTGCCATTGATATGGGCATCCTGTTTCTAACAATGGTCTTTTCAAAAAAACTGAAGTTCATCAAAATCACCTATTACATCATAGCACTTCTATTGCAATATCCCTGAAATTTATAAAACTCAGGTATCCTCAATACTTCACTTTCAATAGTATTTAGCAGCAATTTTTTTCTACAATGTTTTTCAAATATCATTTTTACATGACTAATATTTTAGTGTATTTTAAAGCAAAATACAGACTTTGTTCATTACAGTTCTGTTGCAGAAAACAGAATTGTTTAACAGTTCAAAATATGTTTGTATTTTTACACATATTTTGGTTATGAAAGAAGGTGAAAAATCTGTCAGTAAAAGAGCTAGTTGTAGCTAACATTTTTTGAGTGCTCACTATGTGTCAAGTCTTCTTTTGGGTGACAAATTATGTATTAACTAATTTGTATTTGGGAATGAAAATTTACTTGGCAACATTAACAGAGACTGAAATAAATAAATCACTTTTCAACTATATAGAAAAATAAAATTTATTGATCAAATATTTCACCCAGACAAAGAGAAGAAAAAGCAAAGGAAAGGAATTTCCAAGATGTTTTTCACTAGGTTAATATTTCTAGTTCACCTTAAAATTAATTTTATTAGATTAAGAAAAGTACTTACATTTACTAGGAAGAATAATAAAAATGACTGACAATTATTAGGTATTTTTAATTGGGTACTATGCTATGTTACTTAAATATCTTACATTATTCAATCAACACAATACTGTTTTATCAATTTTTAAAAACTAGTGCTAAGGAAAATAAATACTATGTCCTATGACACACAACTGTAGCAATGGAGCTGAGATTGAGCCCAGATTGTTCTTTTTTTCTACTTCAGAACTGAAGGTCTCAGCTAAGATATGTGGGTTTTTAAAAGTATCATATAATTAAGCTATATAGTCTTTTTAGATGGATATCATCATATATTTTAAATGTCTTCATAGATCTTTACACGTATTTCTTAAAACATGTAACATTTAGTGTGTGTGTTTGTGTGTGTGTGTGTGTGTGTGTGTGTGTAAAATTCTTCAGTCTTCCCACACTTGCTCACCTTGCCACTCTGCAATCAATCTTGGAGAACAGATAAAGGAATACAAGGGAGGTGGCCCCACAGTAGATATGCTGGTCTAATAGTTATATCTTTGAGTCCCATGGAGAAAAAAGTACAAGCCCAGGCCACCCTGAGCCTAAGAAATTCCTCAAAACTTGAAAATAAGGCTAGTGAGGTTTTCTTCCCTACAGTACTTAAATTATAATATCTTTTTATTTTTTGACCATTAAAAAACCAACTGTAGATTACCTAGACCCCTCCCAAAGGGTCCTAATTCTTATATTTGTATTCTGACATCTTCTTTGAGTCATTGTGCACTGACCAAATTTCAAACCATATATTTGTTTGCCTTACTGTTGGTTATAAGCAGTAGTAGTACCTCTGTAGTACAATCTCACATTTCTTCTACTCACTCATTCAAAACTATTTACTGAGCACTTGTGATGTAGCAGTAACATGTGAGGTGCTGTAGATAGAAAGATTAATAAGATATGGCTCCCACCTTCCATAGTTCAGTATAGGACTCAAAAGACAGATATGTATAGATCTAAATCATAATGTGCTGTGCTAAGTGTTTTCAAAATGTCTGAATAATGGAGTATGCAAATTCAGAGGAGGCAGCAACTACAGAAATCTTAATGTTTTATATCATGGTGTCATGTTTTAGATTTAGTTAATGTATGTGAAGGAGTTTCCAGTCCAGAAGGAGAGCAGGGCTTTTCTGTAAGAGGGAACATGTGCTAAGGCATGCCCAGGGAAAGTTAAAAAGTTCAGAGTGGCAAGGAGGTAGGAGAGTGGTGGGTGATGGAGTGGAGAGAAAGCTGCCAGGATCAGACTGTGAAGGAGTCTGAGTTTTGTTTTCAAAGCCAGTGGTCTCTAAAATCTTTTATTGTTCACCTCCATTAGCATGAATCCCCCAGTATACTCATATTTATCTGTGTATAGATGAACATGTATGCACATTATAAAACACACATTAAAAGTACAAATTTCAAAAATACAAGATAACAATTTCAAATAGAAATGCTAAGATTGCCTTTTCCTACCTAATAGTTCATTCTATGTCTGTTTACCCTATTTTAGAAACTACTCATTTGGGCAATGACAATACAGAAGATGTGAAAACAAGCAAATGCTGAAATCAGCTTTGCCTGTTAAAGAGACTAACTCAGGAAGAAGTAAGGAGAATAGATTGAAAAAGGAATCTAGTGGGAAAGAAATCGGGTGGAGCCCAGAGCGACTGTCCAGGAGATAATGGGAACCTCAGCTAAACCTGTAGCGGGGAGCAGAGGCTGACGCTGAGATAGGGTGGGCAGGGGAGTGCAAATGCCAGGATGCCATCTGCCGTGGCTGCTCAGAACCACACACACACTAGGAAGAATAATAAAAATGGCTGACACAGTTCCTAGGAGTACTCTTCTTCTGCATGCTCTATATCAAGACTTTAATAAGGAAAAATCAATGAAATAGAGAAAAGTAAAACAAAGAGCAGTGTCTAAACAAAATTTACAGAGTTCGATTTGGGCTGTGAATAGGTGAGTGTTCATTACATGTCTCCATGTTTCTCTGTTTTTGAAATATTTAAAAATAAAAATATAGCTTATTCACGTGCTTATATTTTTTAAATAAACTTCATTAACTAGTGGAGAATTTTGATACCTCTGACTATTAAACATTAAATTCTCCTTACAGAAACTAAACATTTTTGTTAAATTCACTGAAATGTTGACATGTGAGAATTTCTTACCTTAAAATAACTAAACATTTCATGCATCTGGAGATAGGTGCAAAATTGCTATCAACTCTCTTCTTCTGTTACAAAATTAATGAGTATTCAGTGAAGCCATAACAAAGAATTTTCCTCTAGGCATGTTATAAAAACATTTCTAGTTCTAGTATTAATGCAAAGTCTTGCTTGAGATCCAGTGGTTTTTTAAAATGCACATTTTTGAAAATGACAAATGCCACACAAAAGAATTGGTTTGATTTCTCTTATATTTTAAACCCGTCTTATTTATCATCTCCTCTCTTATAATGAATGTTTTCCTGACAGAGGATTGAGGAACAATTAATGAGTAAATTCAGAGAATTCTCCTCTCTTCATCCAATTGCTTAAGGACATAGAGCTCCAATACATTCTGAATATCACCAAAGTATGTGGTCAATTCTACTGTATCTTCTTCATAAAAGATGATTTTGCCCAAAACCGATGCCTCAAATTACCTCAGGAGTAAGAGATTTCCTTTCACGATGACAGTTTTTCTATTATATAAGAATGCTAAGGTCTGAATTTCAGTCTCTGATTCATGGTACATTCATTTGAGTCCCACTATGAGAGAAAAGCAGTTTTGGAAAGCAGAGATGTGAACCTGAGAGAGTGCACAGAGCCATATATTAGTGAAATAAATAATCATCGATACACTCAGAGTTTGTCCATTATAGTCCTTACGATAAAAATTTAATACTTTCATTTTATCTTTTCCTCTCCCTTTTTAAGTGCCCCCATGATAATTTTCTGTATTTTATAGATATTTTTCAATTATATAACTAAGATTTATGTCATTAATCTTTATAAGTAAAAAAATTCAAAATTTTTTAAAAATTAAAAAATAAGATTTCTCCTTCTAGCAACAATATACCTATTTAAGAATTTTATTCTCACACTGATAGAATAATCGGAAGTCTCAAATATAAAATTTAATAGATTAAAAGTTTTAATTGATTTTTATAGGACGATAAGTCACAGAGAAAAAATATCAGGTATATTGAAGCAAGGTAAAAAACCCTCTCTGGCTTGTAGATTCATGAAGAAAAATACTTTGCATCAAATATAATAAAACTATATTTTGTAACATAGATCCAGCTATCTATATTTTCTTTCATAATTCTTATTTTTCATTTATGTTCCATAGTATTTGTATCTGGCTGAAAATAAACTCACTTTATATGACTTCTAAAAATGTCAATTATGCTGGAAAAAGAAATGGATACTTTGATTAAAATGCCATCATGTCACAGTTTCATCATATTTAAAAATGCATGTAGAGAAGGATAGCCTTGAACATTTGAAGTTTTCAGGTTACCTAGAAAAATTACATTGCAATCATTGGCTTCTGAAGAAAGCTCAATCACCATTTCTTGCTCATCATTCTTTGTAATTGATGATACCACTATATGAAAGAGAACCTGCCATCCACTGACTGGGGAATCTTGTGCAAGACATCATTCTTTAAACTTCAGTTTTCTACTATGCAAAATGAAAAAGAAAGTATCTATGTATTGCTTGCCTCGGTATTATGGAAATGATCACAGTGGTAAGTGTGTTTTATAATTCTTTCTGTAAATCACATAATAAATGGAAATATTCACAAGGAAGACAGCAGGAACATCCTTGCTAGAACACCAAATGATTGTTACTCTGTTTTGTGGCTCCTGCTTTTTTTTAGAATAGGCAGAGTATTTTTCTAAATTTTTCCACCTAACAGCAATGTTCACCCTACATCTAATCATAAATTGCAACCAAAATTGGAAAAAAGGAGTCAGGGATGAGACTAATAATAGAATATTCCATAATGGAATATGTAATATTATAGGTAAAGTAGTAATAAGCTCTGCAAGGATAGCTTTTCATAAACTCATCTATTCAGAGTCAGAGAGCTGGGTAGTGAGGTTGGTACAAAATCCCATCTCAGTCTAGAAAAGCTGAACTGGGTAAAAAGCCTGCTAGTACACACTTGGACACAGGAAGGGGAACATCACACACTGGGGCCTGTCGTGGGGTGGAGGGAGGTGGGAGGGATAGCATTAGGAGAGATACCTAATGTAAATGATGAGTTAATGGGTGCAGCACACCAACATGGCACATGTGCATATATGTAACAAACCTGCACATTGTGCGCATGTACCCTAGAACTTAAAGTATAATTTTAAAAAAGCCTGTTAGTAGAGTTAATTTAGAATCCTAATCAGATGACTGAGTGCTTATGACCCATAAAAAAACCTGGTTAGCACTAACCAACCCAGACAGATTTTTCTTCATTTAGGGATGAAGATACAGGAATCTTGGGATCAATCTCTCTCTTTCTCTCTCTGTCTGTCTCCCTCCCTCCCCCATGGAGCCTTAAAAATAATACTGCAGAACATAGTGATCCTGAAGATTTAAATAAATAATATATTCCTGAGAAAATATCTATTTTTGTATTCAATATAATTTTTTTTAGAAACTGGTACATGGTCTCTATAAATTAGAAGTCCGCATTCATTTGTTTAAATAAAAGGTTATTAGGTGAGTATTTTCTATGCTCCAGGCATTTTCATCTCTTTCATAAGGCAGTGTTTCTCAATTTTTGGTATACATTAGAATCTCCTGAGTAGCCTGAAAAACAGTAAGTGATGCCTGGGCCCCACCCCAGACCTTATTAGTCAATGCTGTCTAGGTCGGTGATTCTAGTGTGCGGCGAGGGCTGAGAAACCATATGGCTAGCAGTGGAGGACACACCTGTAAACATAGGTGGCCATAGTTCTTGAGGTAAGAGTTACTTCATGAACAGAGAAATGATATAATTTTAGGTATTGATTAGAGGAGATTTCAGGCAGGGAAATGGCATGATCCAATTCACATAGTTATAAACCCTTCTGCCTTTGTGTGGAATACAGACCAGGTGGGCAAGAGGAAGATTATTAGACTTTAAATAGTCCAAACTAGAGTTAAATAATGTGACTTGAACAAGAATGGAAGAAGTAGAAAGCAAGGTATGTTTTCAGCACTGGAAAATGCTGAGAGCTGACGAAGCTGGATAATGAGGTTCACTGCTATTCTGTCTGTTGAAAATTTCTGTAACAAAAAACTGTCTAAATATATAAAATAACTGAGGAATTGCTTTTAGGCTTTTGAGGGAAAAGATTTAGACCTAAGACTCTCATATGGTTTCCAGTTTTACAAAGGCAACAGAAAGACTTTCACAGGGAAGTGAAGACTTACATAATTTTCAAATTATTTTAGACATACTTTAGCAGATGAAGAGATTAATCAAAACTCAATTCAAGATTGCAAAGTTGCATAAAATAGTTTTTTTCTTACTCAGTTTGCAAATTCAAGGACCCCAGTAGATCACATGTTGTCGGAACATTTGCCACAGGCTGATCTGGCCTTGTCCTTAAGAATCCTTTAGAATTCTCCCTAAAGCTTGGAGGAGAGATTCCCTGGAGATCTATCTGCATGTTCATCTCTTGCACATGGATTTTGATCCCCTCATGTCAGATCGGAAGTGAAGTACAGTTTACGTGCCAGGAGGACATGGTGCTGTGAAGCTTGGTTGTTCTGGCATACTTTGGTTCCACTGGAACTAATCCTACCTGAACATATTTCTGGGTGTCACCTTATTCTGTTAGCTTAAGTCCAGTGAAGTTTAATTTAATAATCTTCTAATGTGACTAAATTAGAAACATAATTCATTATACATCACAGTGGACATTTTTAACAGGTGCATCACAGATTGGTATATAAAACCAGCTAGATTCAAGGTCCACAATTTAACATTCAAAGTTGTACAATTGAGTCATCCCTCTCTGTTATGCAGGAGAAAGACACACTTTACTGTCTCCTCTGTAATGATTTGCCATTTAGGTTCCAAGCTAGTGGGGATATGTTCAGATGCCAAATGCAACAAAAGCATTCTCTATTTCCCTTTTTCCTTTTTTTTTTTTTTTGGAAGGCACTTTGAAGTTTGTAAAAATAGCCACTTGAAGATTGTAGGAATTTATCCACAGCAATTGTGGTTTATGGGATGAATGATAATTATCACCTATATAGTCTTGAGCCTAGCAAATGCTAAAACAGTGTTAAGGGGGAAATTTATAGCACTAAATGCCCACATCAAAAAGCTAGGAAGATCTCAAATTGACACCCTAACATCACAACTGACCACCAAGAGCAAACAAACCCCAAAGCTAGCAGAAGATAAGAAATAAGCAAGATCATAGAGGAACTGAAGGAGAGAGAGACCAAAAGACCCTTTAAAAAATCAATGAATCCAGGTTATGGTTTTTTTTTTAATTAATAAAACAGACCACTAGCTAGACTAGTAAAGAAGAGAGAAGAATCAAATAGACACAATAAAAAAAGATAAAGGGGATATTACCACTGACCCCACAGAAATACAGCCATCAGAGAATACTATTAACACCTCTATACAAATAAGCTAGAAAATCTAGAAGAAATGGATAAGTTCCTGGACACATACACCCTCCCAGGACTGAACCAGGAAGAAGTTGAATCCCTGAATAGACCAACAATGAGTTCTGAAATTAAGGCAGTAATAAATAGCCTACCAAGGAAAAAACACGCAGGACCAGATGGATTTACAGCTAAATTCTACCAGAAATACCAAGAGGAGCTGATACCCTTTCTTCTGAAACTACTCCAAAGAATTGAAAAGAAGGAACTCCTCCATAACTCATTCTATGAGGCCAGCATCATCCTGATACCAAAACCTGACAGAGATTCAATAAAAAATTAAACTTCAGGCCAATATCTCTGATGAAGGATATTCAAATAGGAAGAAAAGACATCAAATTGTCTTTGTTTGCAGATGCCGTGATCCTGTATCTAGAAAACCCCATCATCTCAGCCCAAAAGCTTCTTAAGCAGACAAGGAACTTCAGCAAGGTCTCAGGATACAAGATGAATGTGCAAAAGTCACAAGCATTCTTGTACACCAACAACAGGCAAGCAGAGAAACCAACCATGGAGGAACTCCCATTCAAATTGCTACAAAGAGAATAAAATACCTAGGAATACAGCAAACAAGGGAAGTGAAGGACCTCTTCAAGGAGAACTACAAACCTGCTCAAAGAAATCAGAGAGAACACAAACAAATGGAGAAACATTCCATGCTCATGGAAAGGAAGAGTCAATATCATGAAAGTGGCCATACTGCCCAAAGTAATTTAGAGGTTCAATGCTACACCCATTAAACTACCATTGAGATTCTTCACAGCTATAGAAGAAACTATTTTAAAATTCATATGGAACCAAAAAAAGAGCTCCTATAGCCAAGACAATCCTAAGCAAAAAGAACAAAGCTGGAGGCATCATGCTACCAGACTTGAAACTATACCACAAAACCACAATAACCAAAACAGCATGGTACTTGTATAAAAACAGACACATAGACCAATGGAACATAATAGAGAACTCAGAAATAAGACCAAATATCTACAACCATCTGGTCCTTGACAAACTTCACAAAAACAAGCAATGGGGAAAGGATTCCCTAATTACTAAGTAGTTCTGGGAGATCTGGCTAGCCATATGCAGAAAATTGAAACTGGATGCCTTCCTTACACCTTATACAAAAATTAACTCAAGATTGATTTAAGACTTAAATGTAAGACCCCAAACTATAAAAACCCTGGAAGAAAATCTAGGCAATACCATTCAGGACATAGGCATGGGCAAAGATTTCATGATGAAATCACCAAAAGCAATTGCAACGAAGCCAAAATTGACAAATGGGATCTGATTAAACTAAAGAGTTTCTGCACAGCAAAAGAAACTATCATCAGGGTGAACAGGCAACCTACAAAGTGGGTGAAAAATCTTGCAATCTACCCATCTGACAAAGGTCTAATATCCAGAATCTACAAGAAACTTAAACAAATTTACAAGGAAAAAACAAAAAACCCTATTAAAAAGTGGGCAAAGGATGTGAACAGACACTCCTCAAAAGAAGACATTGACATGGCCAACAAACATATGAAAAGAAAATCAACATCACTGATCTTTAGAGAAATGCAAATCGAAACCACAATGAGATAGTATCTCACACCAGTAAGAATGGTGATTATTAAAAAGTCAAGAATCAACAGATGCTGGTGAGGTTGTAGAGAAATAGGAATCTTTTTACACTGTTGGTGGGAATGTAAATTAGTTCAACCATTGTGAAAGATGGTGTGACAATTCTTCAAAGATCTAGAACCAGAAATACCATTTGACTCTGCAATCCCATTACTGAGTATATACCCAAAGGAATATAAATCATTCTATTATAAAGACACATGCACATGTATGTTCATTGCAGCACTATTCACAATAGCAAAGACATGGAATCAAACCAAATGCCCATCAATGATAGACTAGATAAAGAAAATGTGGTACATATACACGATAGAATACTATGCAGCCACAAAAAGAAACAAGATCATGTCCTTTGCAAGAACACGGATTATCCTCAGCAAACTAATGCAGGAACAGAAAACCAAGTATTACATGTTCTCCCTTATAAGTAGGAGCTGAAAAATGAGAACACATGGACACAGGGAGCGAAATAACAACACTGAGGCCTGCTGGGAGGTGGGGTGGGGACAGGAAGACCATTGGGAAAAATAGATAATGTATGCTGGGCTTAATACCTAGGTGATGGGTTGATAGGTGCAGCAAACCACCATGGCACACATTTTCCTGTGTAACAAACCTGCACATCCTGCACATGGACCCCAGAACTTAAAACAAAAATTAAAATTAATTATAAAAAGAACTACAATTACCTCAAACTTAAAACAAGAAACTGAAACCACAGACACCAGGTTATTATTATAGAGTGAGTACTGGTAACATATATAGGTTGTATATTATATAGTAATTATGTTTTGAATTTAATGGAAATTTTGACTTCCAATGATAAAAATCATCCTCTTGACTTTTGCCTATACCTATGGCAAGGTGTAGTGAGGCACCAGCATCTGCTATAAAATTCTTCTCCCATCCATCTCTTCCACTTTTCTCTTCTGCCTCTAAGTCTTACTATTAAAGTCTATAGTAGGTGCCCATTAGACAGACTGTCAGATGGAGGTTATTATGCATAATTATGACCAGCACAAATGTTCAGTAGTGCCAATAATTATGACCAGCACAAATGTTCAGTAGTGCCAAAACATTTTATTCTCTGCATATTTTTAAATTCAGGCACTCTGGGAGGCCATCTGTGTACTGCATAGATAGAAATCTATTCAATGTCCAGTTGCTCCATGATTCTTTTTGTCTCTACATTGCTACAGATTCCTGGGTACATAATAACACAGTATACACTTTAGAGTATTCGTTAAATAAATGAATATATACATGAATGAAGATTTGAACCTTTCCTTCCAATAAGCTGAGATAGAATCAATTATTTTTTGCACAGATATGTGTCGAACTTACACTGAAAAAAAAGTGGGCCACACCACCAAAAATATGAAGAGAACACAACGGTGATGTGAATGTATAAAAACAGATATGTGATAATCATGATCTGATTACTGAGATCTTCCCATCCATAAATAAAATAAATATGGTCAAAATTGTTAGAGAACATCTATTATTTGCAACATGCCACAAAGATAAATTATTTTTTATAAAATTTTAAGTGTTTTATACACACAGCTGTCAATATGTTTATTAAATAACTCTAGTATCCAGGTGTTTGCATATCAAATGAAACCTGGGAGCCTCTACATTTTTTTTTGTATTCATCATTCACTATTTTCCCACAGTATGCAAATGCTACAGCTAAATAAACTATATGCATAGGTTGATTTTAAGTCTAAAGTATCTATATTTATATAAAAATCTATGCTTCAAATTTTAAACGCTTTAAGGAAAAAAGACAAGTATGGTTTTAGTATAAGATTTACATGCCTGTTTAATCTAATGTTAACTTTAAAGACATTTAAAATGTTCTATGCCCTGCAGGTATGCTTATTTAACAGGCTAATTTATTATAATATTATATAATCAAAACAGGATTCTGGCAAACTATATTTGAACTGAGATTTACATAATGACATACCTTTAATAGAAAGTCTTATCAGCTCCCTACAATTATCAAATGTTCTAATTTAACTGACAGTCAAACAATACAGAGGACAACTATAAAAATTCCAAAGTATTGTGAAAACATCTTCACTTCACTATGCTGCAGTCTTGGTGGGGGAAAAGTCATCATTCTCCCCTAGGGATAATAATTTTCAGCTTCAGCAACATTTACATCTAATAAGTATCAGTTTTGTTTTATGAAAGATTTCAGAATGAAGTGCTATTTCCTACTACTTAATATGTGTAGTTGGAAAAGTAAAGGAATTGAGCTTAAAATAGGCATACAAAGCAAGATTTGAGGGGCCAAAAATGCATGATCAGAGCTTTCAAAAAAGGTTGGTACTCAACATGTCCACAGGCAACAAGTTTACAAGGCTAGGGTACCTTAGTCCAAGGCCTTTGACTCACCTCTACTCCCAAGAAAGCAATAGGGGGAGCGGGCAGTATTTCTTTCAGATTTTCCTTCAGAAAATATACAAAGGGCAAAACCAACAACCTATTTTTAAGCTTCAGGAAAACAAAGAGAAAAATAAAGACTAATAAATAGACAAATGTTATGTTTACTTTGCCCAGAGAAATTACTTTTCATAAAAAGCCAGGAAGTTTGGGAGATTGTGCATGTGCGTGTGTGTGTGCGCACGCATGTGTGCATGAAGGGGGTGGAGTATGGACCTAATGTGACCCTGAATTTGAATCCTCAAAGCAGTTAAAATTAAGGACATGATCATGAACAAGCCACTTAGCCTCTGTGCCCTCAGCTCCTCAATTCAAATATTCTTCTAATACCTCCTAACTGGCTCTCTGTAAACATCAAAAGGAAGTTGGCATAATATCCCACTCAAGGTTTAAATATTCTATAGTTATAAATAGTTTTATAAAATCGTGGAAGAAACTATGACAAAATAATAAAAAGTGGTTATATTAGAGAGTAAGTGCTTGGTTTGCAATTTTACAAATTTTTTGCAATCCACTTTAAATTTATGCATAAAATATTGATGCATAGGACATTATAGTTGATCACTGTATGATGAAATAGTGTTAATCCTAGTAAACAAATGCATTATTTTTAATTATCATTATTTTAGAAGGGCTGGTTATGCCAACTTGGAATGTCTCTGTATAAGTCAATTTTTACACTTGTATAAAGAACTTCCTTGAGGCTGGGTAATTTATAAAGGAAAGAGGTTTAATTGACTCACAGTTCCACATGGCTGGGGAGGCCTCAGGAAACTTACAACTGGTGGAAGGGGAAGCAGGCACCTTCTTCACAAGGCAGCAGGAGAGTAAAGAGCAGGGGAAACAGCCACTTACAAAGCCATCAGATCTCGTGAGAACTCACACACCATCATGAGAACTGCATGGGGGAAACCTCCGTGATGATCCAATCGCCTCCCTCCCTGGACAAGTAGGGATTACAGGTTCCTCCCACGACACTTGGGGGTTACAATTCGAGAGAATATTTGGGTGGGGACATAGAGCAAAACTGTATCAGTCTCAGTTGAGTGGACTCTTTCTGTGAGCTTTGAATAATGTTAAAGAAGCCCTTACTGTTCTCCAAAGATGTTGACAGCCTCCATGCTCCTCTCCCTTGCAAAGTGTTTTCTTTAGCTTTCCTCTCAACATTGCTTAGCAGAACAACGGAGCACTCACTGTGTGGTTGTTTTACATCACTCATCACTGTCTATCTTTTATTGTGGTTAATTATTTATATATATCTTTTACCCAGTCTAAACCAATACATGAGAGGGAAGATGTTTTATTTACCTTTGAATCCTCCTCATGTCTATCATAGGGTATTGAATACAGACACTTAATAAATATTTGTGGAGTGACTGAATAATGCCCTTATCTCACCTTGGATTTTTGCCTCCCAATGGTAAATTTATATTTTATTTATTAAATAAAAAATTTAAATGTTAAAGAACTGCCATACTACATTACAGCCATATGTTATGGCAATCTTTGAATGAACCCAGAGACAGCAAATAATTTCAATATATAAATAATAAAAATGTATTTATCCTTAGTTTGAAAACATAGCTTAGCTGCTATAGTAATCCTTCATGTACACATTAAATAGTTTATGCACAAATACCTACTATGGGCTGAGAATTACAGTGGGGAATAAGGATAAATAAGTGGAATGTTTCTCAAAAGCTTACAGAACTATCAGAGATTTCTCAAATAAATATTATATATTTCACATGTATTTTAAAATGTAAAACTATTTTTAAATAGTTTTGAAATATGACATAATAAAATGGCCTCATTTCTCCTTTTCATTGAAAGGCTATATTTTACTTTGATGTAAACATATTCTTTTTGTCATAGTTTAACAGCAAAATCAAAATAAATAAGATAAATGTATATTTATCAACAAAGAACAATATAAAAATAAATAAAGCTTAGTTTTAAATTGAGGAATATGGCATAACATATGGAATTTCAGAATAATATTTTTAAGTCTCAAACTTTTATTACATTAAAAAATAAATGTGCATCAAAATGTGTGGAATATGCAGAAAAATTAGAAACTTCTGTTATATTAAAACAGTACATAAAGTCCACTGGATTCACAAAATCTAGATATTAAAGTTTATATATTCTTAACTCATTTTATGTAACTATATGAGTATATTATACATGATATACTATTCTGTGATCTTTTTTCATTAAAATTTATTTTTCATATTTTACTACAAATATTCAATGACATAACTGTAATGGTCACATGGAATTCCATCTTCTTTATGAATCATAATTTATTTAACTATTCCCCTATTGCTGGACATTTGCATTGTTTCAACATTTCTTTTCACTACAATGCTGTAATTATCATCCTTATAAATAAATCCATATGCATTATTTTCTTATGATTATTATACACACCTCACTAAATTCTAAAAGAATATACTGATTATAATTTAATAGCTTCTTGATGATTCAATATCATCTCCATCAAAACAAAGCATATTTCTTGCAGTTTAATGTGGAAATGTTTGCTCTAGAGTTAGAATGAAATCCTGATTGTACCATTCAGTAGCTGCATGACTTCAAGCAAGTTACTTAGCCTCTTTAGGAAATAATATCTCTCTCTGTAAAATGAGCTTGATAATAGCTATCATATAGATTATGAAGATAACATGAGAAAATGCACATAAAATGTATAGCTCTGAGTCTTATAAGAGTATAAAGTGAATAAATATTAACTTTACATTAATTATACAATTTTGTCATCATAGTAATTTTATCCATCAGGGATTTCCAGAGGAACAGATCCAATAGGCTATATAGAGATATACATAAAGAAATTGATTATGAAGGACTAGCTCATGCCATTGCAAAGACCAAGAAGTCCCACAGTCTGCTGTCTGTAACCTAGTGTCCCAGAGAAGCTAATGGTCCAAACCCAAAGGTCTGAGAACTAGGGGAGCCAATGGTATAAGTCCCAGTCTGAGTCCAAAGGACTAGGATCTTGGGGGTTGATGGTGTAAGTCCTGGTTCAAGTCCAAAAGTCCAAGAACCAGGAGCACTGATGTCCAAGGCAGGAGAAGATGGATGTCCTAGCTCAAGTAAATAGAGGAAATTTGCCCTTCCTCCACCTTTTTTTCTATTTAAATCCTCAACAGATTAGATGATGACCACCTGCCTCAATGAGGGAAATCTTCTTTATCTAGCCTACTGATTTAAATGCTAAACTGGTCCAGAAACACCGTCACCCAGAAATAATGTTACCAGCCATCTGGGCATCCCTAAGCCCAGTCAAACTGACAAATAAAATTAACCTTCACAACAATTATATTAAGATACAAGGAACTGTGAAGCTGTCCAACCCTGTTTACCCCTTGCTCAAAAAACTCCAGTCATAATAGATTTCCGTTTCAAACTATTATACAGATTTATTTTATAACTATTAAATATTACTTCAAGATCTATCTACATGTATATTTTATACTGCCAGATGTACTCATTCTCTTTTCCTAGGCATTATACTTAATTGCTTCTATTATATCAACGAACATGCAATCCCTATTGTTTTTCTTTATGCCCTGTTTCTTGAGTGTAACATTTCCCCACACTCCTAAGAATATTCTAAGAGTTCTACAGCCATGGTAACAAGTTAGAACTAGAACTTGTTTTGAACCTATTTAATTAGTCCATTATATTTCTATAATCATGGTGATAAGAAACTCTCAGAACCGGTTTTAAATATCAACCAGTGACAGCTAAACTTAGTAAACACACTTCTGAAAGCCAACCAGTCAGTGGGAGTTCCTGGTTTTCAAAGTTGACCACTGAACAAAAGTCTTATTCTAGTAACACATTTCTGAAAGCTAATCAGCAACTCAGTCTTTCCTGTGTAACCACACTCAGCATCCAGTGTCATTTTACTTTCACTGCTAAAAGTCACTAATCACTGACCTACATGCTTTCTATACTAGTTATCTACTGCTGTGTAACAAATTACCCCCAAACTAGAGGCATAAAACAACAAAAATTTATCTCACACCATTTCTGAGAGTTAGGAATCTGGGTAGCTTTACTAGGTGGTTCAGGCTCAGGGGCTATCATGAGACTGCCTTCAAGCTCTCACTAGAGCTGCAGTTATCTGAAGGATTGAACTGGAGCCTCCATTTCCACATTGTATTACTCACATAGAACTCAGTGACTCATTTGTGTAGGCAGAAGGTCTCAGTTCATCACCGCATACACCTCTCTAAGAGCTGCTGGAGTGTCCTCATGACATGGCAGCTAGCTTTCCTCAGAGCAGCTTACCCAAGGGAGAGCAAGGAAGAAGCCAGACTCTCTTTTATGATCTGGACTCAAAAATGAAGTACCTGCTATATTCTATTGGTAACACCTGATACACTATGAAGAAAAATACACACAAGCATGAACCAGGAACCACATCCTTGGAGCCATCTTGGAGACTGGCTACCACTCTTCCTGAAAACCCTATATAAGATCAACAGCCTGCTTTGCTCAGAGACCATGCTTAACCAGTATAATGCCCCCTTATTTAAATAGATAGTAAATTCAGATTTGTGGGTTTTATTTCAGATACTGAGAGTTAGTGTCATCCTTTTTTTTAATTTCTAGATGTTCTTCCTAGATTTTTTGAAGTTCCTCATTTGAAAGCATTCTATTTGACCCAGGAACCAACAACAGTGCTCACTGCACCTACTGCAGCCAAAACTCTGATGTTGCTTTATATCTGCTAGAATGTGAACATTTCTATGGCAGGTATTAAGCCTAAGTTATTTCTCAATCTTTATTGCCAAGTATATAGTAGACACTCAGTTAATACTTGTTAAATAAATAGATGCAGAAATCATAATGAAATATTAATCTTCCAAATTTCACCTCACAAAGTTAAGCAGTATTGAGTGGTGGATTGTTGTAAATGTACAACTCACATTTTCTTTATCTAATAGACCTGGTGCCATCTTAATATTTTCTTACTCAAATGTTTCCAACATGCTTGGTGAAGTTGGGCTTGGGAGGTAGGAGACACAGCTCTGATTTTATCATTGAAGTTTAAGGAAAAATGGAATTCACATAGAACACAACCATTTCACTAAATGAGAAAGACCTAATTCATCACCCTAATACATTTTTTGTAACTTGAACATAGTCAAAAACTTTAGCCAGGTACAATATTGCAATAGTTTTTATCTTACTCTTGGATGATTCATGTAAGTATAGCAAGTGTTGAAAGTTTGAACCAACTCAGCCATGTAAACATAAAACATTTCTCCCATCAACAATTACAATTACCATGAAAACACATTCACATCCATTTGCAACTACCAAAGAAAATCAAAAGGACTTTAGAGAACATGACATTGGAGGCTGATGGCAGTGTATAGTGGATAAAATAAGGGATGAATGAGGATATACCCAAACAACTTTTCAAGTCCTATTTGGCATAAAATATATTTTTCAGTGACTATATTATTCATCTCGAGCAAGCAGATACTCTATAGGCAAAGCATGACATTGACCTAAACATAGTGCATTTAAACTTATCCAAATTAGAATAGGCCATTTTGTATACTCGAGCAGATATAAATGATATAAAATATATAGAGCTCCTTTCAAATGATAATGTAAGTTTTTTACAGTAATCCTACAGAACACTTCAAAGAATAGCTCAAAATTAAGCTTAGTTTTTTACCAGGATAGCAAATTTAAGAAGGCAAAATAAATTACATACACATCATATAGTTACAAGAAAATATGACAAAAAATTAGATTAAAAAATATGGGTAGAAATCCAAGTAAATTCTGGGATGCGTATTTTTAAAAGCCTTTAAAAAAAATAAGCAGAACTAGTAGTAGCTAAGATTATATTCACAATAAATCAAACATGTATTGGATTATCATGTTGTATTCTGAGCTTCATCCCTTAAAAGAAATGAGAAAATTGGAAAAATGTTCAGAGAGAAGTGCCAAAAGGGATCAAGGATTAGGAGGGATTCTGAAGAATACATTAAATAGCCCATTTTAGAAAACAGAGAGTCATAATAATCTACGCATAGCCTTTATTTTGTAGCTAGTGAATAAGTTTCAACTGCAATAAAGGATATATAAGAAAGTCTTATGTTACAAAGTAGAAAATTCTTAAAGAATATCACCAAAAATCAGCCTTGACTGTCAAGGATGATTATCTAAATTGCTGGAATCTTTAAAGCTAAGATAGATTCTAATTTAGCAAATGTGTATCAAGTCTTGACTAAAGACAGTGAAGCAAACTGAATTGCGTAAAAAATACCTTGTACTTTTTTAATGGGAAAAAAACAGTAATTAGGCCAAGAAATCAGGTTCTAGTATTAATCACATCATTTAAATAACCATGTATTCTAAGGGCAAGTAAAATATATTATATGAAGTGCTGGAAATGATATGAAAAAGAAGTAGTAGAACTAGAGGTCGTTGATATTACTCAGCATCTGAACTAATGAGAAACTTGACAGTAATATAATAACACCATTTCAGTTAAAATGGACCATTGCTTTGGGAAAGTAATTTGATCATTCATTTGTATTCCCTAAGTGATTTTCTAGAAAGATAATAGCTAATCCACCCCTTCAAGGTATCTCCATTAGAATTCCAAGAATTATAGGCCTAAAATGCTCCTTAATATAATCTACAGCTTCAAGGTTAAAAATTTGCCAAAGTCACAAAAGCTTAACGAAGGAGAGAAACAAGTTGAGCATATTTGTGACAGTCCAGAGGGTTGGGAGCTTGAGGACAGACAGTGCATAAGGAAAGACAACGGAAGATAAGTTAAAAGACTAACTTTCCAAAATAGCCTTTCCAAAAATAAGTGTGACAAGCCATATATTCCTGGAAAAAAATTAAAGACTTGTTTTTTACTTGGTCTAAGATTATAAAATTATAATCTAGAAGAAATTCTTTGTGCCTATTAGCAAGTTGAAATTATGACTTATGCAGCATTCCAGTTACAATCAAGCCACTACTCTAGGAAATATGGGATATAAAAATATGGATGTACCAGGTATTTTTAGAGAATGTATGGTCCTAATACTAGGTAATTTGTTAGCAACCCAAGCCATTTATGGAGCATTCGTAACTCTATTTACTCCTTGGTTCTTGCTGTTGATAGATCTCTGAATTTACAGAGTGAAATCAATAAACAGGAGTACCTACATTGTAGAGTATTAATGTTGGAACACATAATAAATTCCCAGAGCTATCTTCCCTAAAATGTTTATAGTTAAGGAGTTACTCAGTTTTAGGAAGCACCTCTGTAATAGACTAATCTTTTTCAAGACAAATGTTGCAAATCTCTTGTCAGTCAATTTAATAACCATGTAATTCAAAAAGATTCAAGGCTCTGGTAACTTACCCAAAGAAAAAGAAAAAAATCAGCAAAAAGCTTGGAAGACAGAGTTTGAAAATAACAACGTAATGCCACTTGCATATTTCCTTTTAATTTGTTTATTTTAACAAAGTGCAAATAGACTCTAAACAACAAACACAAATAGATATAGGTCACCTTCTGATAATTTCAGGTGGAAAACTGCAGAGAAAATAAATAGCAGTCAGGTTCTTAATTCATCTTATTAAACCCAAAACTTTCAACTTAAGTTATTCTTTCTCATAATTTTCCTTCTTTTTTGTTCTCTCTTCTTCCTCTAGGCTATTATAGAACTGAGCACTTAAATATGCCTTTGTATGCACCAGCCCAGTGATATTACACTGAATTTGTGACTCTCTTTAAGTAAGTTTTAAAATGCAAGTTTTAAAGCTTCAAGAGGAAACATCTTTTAAAAATACTACCAAAATAAAAGCTTCCCTACCTTGGTTCTTTAATATTTATATTTTTAACTTTCTTTTTATAGATTTATTGAGGCATAAAATGTATACAATAAACTGCATAAAGTGTACTATTTAATAACTTTTTACTTTGTACATCCATGAAATGATAACCACAATCAAGATGATAAACATTTCCATCACTCTCAAATTTTTTAACCCATCACCTCTCATTTCTACTTCCAGTCCCCATTCCCAGGTAGCCACGGATTTGTTTCTGTCACTACTCAGTTTGCATTTTCTAGTATTTTACATAAATGGAATCATATAGTATGTACTCTTTATTGTCTGGCCTCTTTCACTCGCATACTTATTTTGAGATTCAGCCTTGTCGTTATATGTATCAAAGGTATCCAGGTTTTTCTTTTATACTGCTGAGTATTCTACATGGATATATCACAATATGTTTACCTATTCATCTGTAAGTAGTTATTTGAGTTGTTTCTATTAGTTTGAGTCTTTTACAAAAAGTTTTATGAATATTCATATACAAGTTTTTGAATAGACATATACTTTCTTTTCTTTGGGATAAAGATGTAGAAGTGTAATGCCTGGTTGTATGGCAGATGTATGTTTAATTTTATAAAAAATTGACCAGGCGCAGTAGCTCATGCCTGTAATTTCAGCACTTTAGGAGGCTGAGGACGGGCAGATCACTTGAGGTCAGGAGTTTGAGACTAGCCTGGCCAACATGGTAAAACCCCAAATCTACTAAAAAAAATTACAAAAATTAGCTGGGTGTGGTGGTGGGCACCTGTAATCCCAGCTTCTTGGGTGGTTGAGACACAAGAATCACTCAAACTTGGGAGACAGAGGTTGCAGTGAACCGAGATTATGCCACTGCACTCCAGTCTGGGCTACAAAGTGAGATTCTCTTTCAAAAAGAAGAAGAAAAGAAAATAGATAAATAAATGCAAAATATTTTGCAAAGTGTATTTACCATTTTATATTTGTACTAGCATGATATTAGTGTTCCAGTTGCTGCTCATCCCTGCTGACACTTGATATGGCCAGTCTTTTTAACTTTAGCCATTTTTGTAGATATATAATGATATCTCACTGTGGTTTAATTCACGTTTCCCTATGACTAATGACGGTACACATCTTCTTATGGACTTTTTGGCCATTTATATAAATGCTTCTCTTTTAATTTTGTGTTTATTTTAAAACATTTTACTTATAGTAAAGTTCATTCCTTTTGGTGTACAATTCTATGGGTTTTGACTTATTTATAATTATGTCATCGCTATCATAATCAAGATACAGAATGGTTCCATCACCCTAAGAACTCCCTCATGCTGCCTCTTTGTAGTAAAACACTACCATCAAATTTAAGCCCTAGCAATCACAGGCCTGATCTTTGTTCCCATAGGTTTGCTTTTTCCAAAGTGCCACTTAAATGGAATTATACCATAGCCTGGGACTCTGGCTTCTTTCACTTAATATGATGCATTTGAAATTCATCCATGTTGTGTACATCAATAGTTCACTCCTCCAAATCTGCTGAACCAAATTTTTATGGATGAACCAAATTTTGTTCATTCATTCACCAGTTGAAGAACAGCTGTGTTGTTTCCAGCTTTTGGCAACTTTGAATAATGTTGATTATATATATATATATATATGTGTATGTGTGTGTACGTATATATGTTACATATATGATATATTGTATATATTGCCTATTTATATATATTGTGTATATATATGCTTTGTGTAAATAAATGTTTTCTTTTATTTTGGGTAATTACCTAGGAAAAGAATGGCTAGGCTTTATGATTAGAATATATTTAATTTATAAGAAAGTATCAAAATATTTTCAAAGTGGCTGTATTATTTTGCATCTCCACCAGTAATGTGTGAGTGTTTGAGGTATTCCACCTCCTTGTTTGGTATCATTAGATTAAAAAATTATCTTAGCCTTTCTAATAAGTGAGAAGTAGTATTTCACTGTAGTTTAAATTTGCATTTCCCTGATGACTAATGATGTTGATCATCTTTTCATGTGCTCATTTGCTATCTATATATCTTCTTTGACTATTTGGTTTTGCAAAACTGCGAAGTTAATTTATAGAAAAATAGTCTTTTCAACAAATACCTCTGTTGGAAAGTTTGTGATATCAAAGTATTAAAAAAGAACTTCAATTTATATCTTGAGCCATATACAAAAATTAACCCCAAATCAACCACACACTGAAATATAAACCTAAAACTATAAAATTTATAGAAGAAAACCTTATTACTACAATCCAGGCCAACACTTATTGGATATGGCAGCAAAAGCATGCAATAAAGAAACACATAGTAAATTGTACTTTATCAAAATTGAAAACTTCTGCTCTTCAAAAGATACTATTAAAAGACAGAAAGGACAAACTATACACTGGGAGAAAATATTCACAAAGCATATATAGGTTAAATTATTTGTATTCAGAATATCTAAAGGATTCTCAAAACTTAATAAACATTAATAAATAATATGAAAATAATCAAAAGTTTTGAATAGACACTTCAACAAAGACATACAAATAGCGAATACTTGAAAAGAAGCCAAATAACATTATTTACTAGAGAAATGCAAATTAAAACCACAAAAAGCTACCAATATACATGTATTAGATTGGCTAAAATTAGAAAGACTGATTGTACCAACTGTTGATAGAGCTGTGGAACAAATGCAACTCTCATATCTCTGCAGTTGGTGGTAATATGAAATGTTATAATGACTGGAAAACAGGTTAGCCAACAGAAATGCAAACACATGTCTAAACATAGTCCTGAACATGAATGTTCATAGCAGCATTACTGGTAGTAACGCAAAAGTGAAAACAACCCAAATTTCCATTAACTAGTGAATAGACAGGCACAATGTAGTTCCACTATTCTAGCGGAGGCACCAAAGCATAAAATAGCCCCTTTTTAAATTGCAGGCAGAGTATCTAAGAAGTAAAGAGAACATTCTATAAGATCTATGTATCATCCCACATCATCTAAGTGATGAATACAGTTATATATTTAATATTATAAGGTATCACTTCTTCTTTACAATAAAAAATAAGGTTCAATATCTTACCTATATATCTATAACCTTCTTCCCCATTTACTATGGGTCTCAACCAAGTCGACTTGAGTAGTGTACTGTCAGGCACATGTGCACCTTCAGGAGGATAGAGTGTAAATAACATTTCAATTGCTTTGGACTTTTTGATTAGTTCAGAATATTTTTCTTTGCCATCTATAAAGAAAAGATAAAATATATAAAATTTTAGACATTTTACAGACTGTCATACTTGCTTCTTTTAAGGGATGCAAATTAAAAACTAACATTTGGATACAACAGGTCACACTGAAAACATGTCTTTTTTTTTAGTCAAAGTTACTTTACCAAAAATCTTCTTGTTAATTCCAAGCAAAAACTAAAGAGTAAGGGCTTTACTAATACCGTCTTAAACCACTATCAGCTTGAAGCAGTATTGTTAAGGCTGTGAAAAAAAATAAGATACCCAACGAACAGCATTCACATTATAGATTCTATAACATATCCATATATTCTTACTTTTAATTTCTATTTAACAATGGAATCAGACTAATCTGACAAAAATGTTGAGTAAATATAGAGTTCCATATATTGGAACTACTAAAATAATTAATATTCCTAGGCTATGGTTTTTAAGAAAATATAAAATGCATATTGCTGTGACTGAATTATTTTTATCTGGCAAACATTTGTATAGCACATATTATGTGCAAAGGATTATTCCTAGTGCTTTAAAATATTAACATATTTAATTTTCATAACATACCTGTAAGGTAACTCCTATTATTATTTCCTTTTACATGTACAAACTGAGACCCAGAGAAGTTAAATAACTTGCCTAAATTTCACAGTCTATAAATGATGCAAGTAGGCTTCAGATACCTAAGGAAGCTCTTATTTGCAAATGAATCTTTGTCAGCTGAACATGACCTGTATTAACTAGTAGCTGAGAAAGCTGGAATTAAACAATAATTTAAATTGCACAGCGAAAAATCTCTGGTATGCCCATTGGGCCTCCAGTTTGTAATTCTAGTTTTTGGTTGATAAGCCAGGGTCCTAAAATTCAACAAAGCAGTCTCCTGAGGACTTAAAGTGATTCTGCCTAGAAACACTTTAAAGAAAAGAGAGACACTAATGTAAATCTCCACTTATAACCCAATTACATATATTTCCCTCCTTTCCTCTTAGTCTCCTTTATTTTGTTACATGTCATATTTTCTGGCACAGTGAATATAAGGCCATATGACATGATTTGATGGCAAGCAGTGTACCAGGTATCCATCTATTGCCTCACAGATCCAAATCCATCCTTTACTGTCCTGCTTGTGAGGCTAGAACACTTCTTCCTCACAATATGGCATGATTTTAAGTATAAAACAAATTGGGCAATGGAGAGAACTAGAGGATGAATGGGTTCTTTCTGGATCTGGTGGGTCTCTCAGAAGGCTCCTGCAACTTCTCTGGCATCTCAGAGGGCACTCCCCTCCTCCCATCACTGGGCGCTTCCTAGATAGTTCCACCAGTGCAGCACCTTCCTATGAACGGCTTCCCACTGAGTTCCACAATGTGACATCACCCTACAGAGTTTGCCCCAGATCTCCAGAGTAGCTTCTCCATGAGTGCCACTAGAATGCCAGCTCCGTGTACTCCACCATTCACTGACTCCCCATGGGTGGACTTTGTAAACATTTGTTCTTTCCTCAGGTGCTCTGCCTCAGACCAAGGGGTCCCTATATCTGCTCTTGTCAATTATTAGAGTTATTTTACCCCTTAGTAGAAAATCACATTTACTCCAATCTCTGTCATAGTTAATAACTACTATATTAGACTTTTCCTGCTTAAATTACTATGTTGTTTCTATCTGCTAAGTGGACCCTAACTGATACAGACAGAACTGGGTTCTAATTCTTAATGGGCTTTGAAATATAGTCATGTGCTGCATAACAACATTTCAGTAATGATGGACCAGATACAAAACGGAGCTAAAATGCCTAGTGAAGTCCTGGCTGTGGTAACATTGTAGCACAATGAATTACTCACATGTTTATGATGATGCTGGTGTAAATAATGTTACTGCACTGCCAGTAATATTAATGTACAGAACATGCAACTATTTACATTACATTTATTATCATAAATGGCTGTTAGTGGTTTCTGTATTTACCATACTATAATTTTTAACTTTATGTTACAGTGTACTCCTTCTACTTATTAAAAAAAAAAAAAACAGTAAAACAGCCTCAGGCATGTCCTTCACGAGCTATTCCAGAAGAAAGCATTGTTATCATAGGAGATGGCAGCTTCATGCTGCTATTGGCCCTGAAGATTTTACAGTGGGACAAGATGTGGAGGAGAAAGACAGTGAATATTGACGATCCTGTGTAGGCCAAGGCTAATGTGTATGTTTGTGTGTTTATTTGTAATAAGAAGCTAAAAAAAAACAAAAAATATAAACAAATCCTAAAATAGGGCTTACAGAATAAGAATGCAAACAAAGAATATATTTTTTTACAGTTGTACAATCTATTTGTGTTTTCAGCTAAGCATTATCACAAAATGTCAAAAAGTTACAAAGAAATTTAAAAGTTTATAAGGTAAAATATAATAAGCTAAGGTTAATTTTTTATTGAAGAAAGAAAACTGTTGTTATAAAGTTAGTGTCGCCTAAGTGTTCAGTGTTTATAAAGTCTACAGTAGTGTACAGTCATGTCCTAGGCCTTCACATTCACTCACCAACTCACCTAGAGCAAATTTCAGTCCTACAAGCTCCATTCATGTTAAGTGCCCTATATAGGTGTATCATGTTTTGTTTTGGATACTGTATTTTTACTGTACCTTTTCTATGTTTAGATGTGTTTAGATACACAAATCCTTACCACTGTGTTACAATTATTTACCTATATTTTTCATATGCTTCAATATCAGGTCAAATAAAATGCCTACACTAAAATCTAAGTAGTGGTGAATATAGAACTGCCACTTTCTCCCACTAGCTTATCCTGATTGAAGACTAATAGAAACACATGAAGTCAATGGAGTGAGTGTTGAATTTGCAAGGATAACATAAAGATAAATGTAACATTAGACACATATCGAAGGTTTGTAGCTTAGAGTCTTGCTAATTCCCCATTTCCAATTGATAGTGTCAATGGAGCCTTGGAACTTACACAAACTTAAATGATTGTACCTTCTTTCATAATTGCATTGTTAACTAAAAATAAACATTTTCTCATTTCAAAAGGCATATAGCTGGTAAAACTCTCTTCTTTATATTTCATTACACATGTCATCCCAAGATAAAAGCAGGAATTTAATTTGTTTCTGATATTAATAATTTTTGCTGTTTATGGACTGCTTCTTTTTCGATATACTAAGTCAATATTGCCATAAGGGATTTAGATGTAGCAATACACTACTCTTAGAACTCAAAAGAATAAGAGCTCTTCCTTACCCCTACCTCACCAGGCCACATATGCAATATCTGAAGTTTTTTAAATTAGCAAATGTATATAACATAGTTGCCAGTATTTATTGAGAGCTTAGTATACAACAGGTGTGCAAAGCAGGTTATATACATTTGCTAATTTAATTCTAAAATCAGAATATGTTTAATTTGCTGACAATCCTATGAGGTCAATATTATCATACATCACAGCTCAAGATACTGAAGCATAGGGAGGTTACAGGGCATTTTCAATGCCTCCTAGCTGGTAAGTGGTGAAACCAGAATTTATTCTCTATTCTGTCTAACTTCAAAGCCTTTCTTTTAAACCACAATGCATATTGTTTTAACCAATGGTTCCTGGTATCAGGAGACTGTCAGCACTTCAATAGTTACGAGTGAACTGGTGGTCTCTCCCGTTGCTATCACCCTTCCAATCTTTTTAAATCCTTCTACAGCTGTACCTGTAAAGTGTACTCTGCTGGTCAGCCCTCTGAGAGCAGCATATAGCTCTTTCCTGGAGGTTTACTGATGTTAGTCTTCTCCACAAAAATTTATTTTGTAGCAGCTGTTGAAAAGCCCTCAGGTCAAAACCACCATTTATAAACTGATGATGGCCCTCTCAGTTCGCTAAGAATAATGGCTAGTATAAAATCCCACAATATGAACTCTACACCACCTCTAGTTTTCCCCTCTTCTCAGGTAAGTGAGGCTCGTTATGCTTAATATTCAGGGTGGATGAGGAGTTTTCAGAGAACTCAAAGTTCCCCTTCCCTTCCTCTCCCAAACAATGTGCTGTGTTATTGAGAGCTTGGTGCCTCCCTCCTGCAGAGCCTGGAGTATTTAAGACAGTGGCTCCAGGGTTGTACTTCAAGAATCACAGTGATTTTAAAAATAAATAAATAATAATAGAGAATTGACATAAAGATGGCAGACAACTTTACAGTCTAAGTGAGCATAATAAAAAGAAAGAGCATCTATTGTCGCAACTGTTCCTCCTTTGTATGTATTACCGAAGGATATTTCAACACTCAAAATGCATGGGCAAGAACATCTCAGATGAAAGAACAATAATTTACATTGAACCCTGGAGATTCCTAAATTTCCAGGATATTTTAAAGTTTCAAGTTCTTTCTAACGTACCCGCCCCTTCACACAAATGCCAGCCCAGACACAATACTTTAAAAAGGGCAAATGTATAAATTATTAAGGTCAGGACCAGTCCTAAGTGTACCAGGGAGACTTGTGGCTAACAAAGCTCTACTAGTGACCTTGGGTTATTAAACCAAAATGGTAGGGCTAGTTACTGAAGTCAATTTTTAACAAGTATTTATAAGTACAGATAGAAATAGCCTAATCCTTTATCTTTACCCTGTACTGGTACTATTAACTAAATGTATCTGCAAGGTTTAAAAAAAAAACATATTTTATAGTTTTCATACTAATACAGGCTAAAAACAATGGCAACAGGTAGATGTTTTCTTTCATTGTGAATGTTATGCATTCACAATGAATTAGCAATTTAATGCATAATATTTAATAAATAATGAATGATATTCATTAAATTGCTAATGCATCCTTCATGGACTACTAGCCAATACTGTGAAGTTTTTAGTATGGAATTTTCATATGTGAGTTTGAAGTGGTGGACAAATAATCTATAACCCAGCATAAATGACCAGTTTTTAAATGCTGTGCTTTTAACACCTTGTCAGTGTTCAGTTAAAGCACTTTATGTTGCATTCATTTTGATTTGAAATAAGTGATGTCATACTTTTTTGTCATGCCATTTTTATCTAAGTTTATTTCTGTTCATTAGTAATATTTAAAAACGAGGATACAAAGTTATCAATATGAAAAATTACGTACTTCTTGAGCAAGGAAATGTGAATCCAAAGCAGCCCCATTCTTAAATTAATGAAACTTTCTTACGTTTAGTTTCTTTTAAGCTGAAAGATCATTCTTAAAGATCATTGATGAAGGAAAATATTAAGATTCAAAACCAAGGGACAAAATGGTTAAGAAGACAGTTAAATGATATGCCAATAAATAATATGATTTGTAAAAATAAATGCTAGGACCACCTATCTCATATTACAATGAAATACCAACATTACTTAACTTAAACAAGAGTGAAAATGTTCTCTAACCCTTGACTAAGAGTAAATAATAATATAAAATGAGGTTATGAATTATTTAAAAATGTTAAATTATAGCAAATATTACCACCTTTAAATCCCTTCAGGTCATGAAAACAGGCACATATTTTAAATTTTGCCAGAATATTCTTCACTACACATTTAAATGTTAAATGTATGAAAATTGTGCTGTTGATACATACCTTTATAAATCCAATCAAAATGCCATTTTAGAGTAGAAAATTAGGGAATCACAGCTATTTAATTGTTCAATAATCAAACTACAGTTAGTTCAAAAGGTTCGCTTCTTCAGTGGAATAAAGAGTTCATAAAGAAATACACTAACATTTTAACTTTATTTTCATTCTGTATTTACTTATTTTTTGCTTGTTTGCTTAATAAACAAATTAAATAGACTTTCAAGTATTTGATATAGGAAGCTAAAAGACTTTTTCCTTTCCCTGTCTTCAAGGGCTTTAGATAGAAACACATATCATATCACTATATATAAATAAATTTTATAGCTGCCCAAAACACTAAAATACTTTTAGTTAATAACTCCAATAGAATTATAAGGATTCCTTAGGAGGAGCATTTTCTTTCTTCTAAAAGCATGTGTGTGTGAGTGTGTTTGTGTGTATAAGTGTGTCTGTGTACTGGAAATAATACAAACATTATCTCAAATTATTAAAGTGATTAATTTTAAGTACTCTATTTTAAAAATATAAATATTTTTATCTCTCAGTCTCAACATGGGTAGGTTAAATCCATTAATGAGACTTTGCTCTGACTAAAGACAAAAGACTAAAGATAAATGCTCCTCCCACCTTAGTTACATTTGTGAGAGTAATACAATAACACAAAAAATTCTTAAAATTTAAGAGCATAGTGACAGTTTTTATTGGGCTCAGCATACATAATCCATAAGATATTTCTTTTCACTTTGTTGGGAAGATAACTTTAATAAAAAAATTTACCTCACAGGTCAGATGCACGAATTTCCAATTAAGTGTTGCTATTCTTTTTTTTTTTTTTGAGACAGAGTTTTGCTCTGTTGCCCAGCCTGGAGTGCAGTAGCGCAATCTCGGCTCACTGCAACCTCTGCTTCCTGGGTTCTAGCGATTCTCCTGCATCAGCCTCCCGAGTAGCTAGGATTACAGGCATGTGCCACCATGCCCGGCCTTTTTTTTTTTTTTTTTTTTTTTTTTAGTAGAGACGGGGTTTCTCCATGTTGGTCAGGCTGGTCTCAAACTCCCAACCTCAGGTGATCTGCCGCCTTGACCTTCCAAAATGCTGAGATTACAGGCGTGAGCCACAGCGCCCAGCAAGTGTAGCTATTCTTAATTGTTAAATTAAATTTGAATTACCCAGTCCTTTTGTTTTTCCTGAGACAAATCGCATCATTTTGGTTATTTTTCTATATCCTTAAGGGGCAGAGGGCAACTCTATGAATTTTTAAGCTATTCATTACTAATATCAGTTTTAAATGTATTTTGAGCTAAACATTGCAGTTAATTACACAGTTAAATATTTTAAGTATTATTTTCCCATACTATTTAAATCCCTAAGAAAAACTGCAGTAATTGGCAGTTGACTATAACAAGCTTAGCTTTATGCATTTACTCAACAATTACATTAGCCCTGACATGCAAAAATATATACATTTTTTTCCTTTTCTTGTGCTTAAGCCTCTTTCTAGATTCAAGAGGCAAAAGTAATACCACGCTATTTCAGTAAAAAATGAACTTCAAACAAGTGAGAATTTTTCCTGATGGATTTTTTGAAATGAATTCCAAATAAATGTTTTTTTAAATTTATGTATTAATTTTTAAAAATAAGTGCTGTCTTTCAGAATTGAGCCATTCTTTAACTTTTTAGACTTCGTTTTCCAGACTTATTTAGATTTCTCAATCCTGTTCAAGATGTCTATAATTTAAGGCTTGTTTATTGATTATACTAATGTTAAGATTATTTTAAATTCTTTCCGAAACATGATTGGATACAAATCAATTTATAAATGGAATAATTTATTTACTTAACAAATGTACAATTTCCTGGCCCTGATTTATTTATATGCATTAATAGGTAATCATTTTCCTAGTTAAAAGAGACACAATAAGAGCAAAGATTTTCCCTTTTCCTCTCCCACAATGCCAAGATAAAGTATATTTTAATCAACCAAAAATATAAATATAACTGCATCTTTACTGAAGCATGAAAATTCCTACAACTTCCAATAACTTTAAAGAATGTATAACAGAAACAATAAAATTAACACCTAAATAAAAGAGACTGTCTAGAGTTGACACATCTAAATTTGGCATGGGTGAAGCCCTGGGTATAATCCATCTTGATGCATAATTCCTCTCCATTTATGGACCTGTGAAACTCAAGAATAAGTTATCTGCTCACAAAATACCTTGATGAGACAGGAATAAGCAATTCCTATTCAAAATGAGATAAAATAAAAAGAAAAAGGGTTACTGATCCCAAGCCATTTTAAAACCCAGCTGGGCAAACTTGAGAACAGTTCTAAGTCTGAGAATAATCCTCTGTGGTTTTCAGCTCTGCCTTCTAAGTCATCCTTCTTTTTTCATGAAAAGTAGCATGGGTTAGCAGCTGAGTCATTTTAATAGTCTATTTCCTGCCTGTACACTTTTGGGAGTCCAGAAGCCTTCTTTCCATTAATACGGTTTCTGTCACTTTTGGTCCAAGCTGGCAGTGTTCTACTGATTTAAATTTTTCAAAAATCCTGAGGTCTCATGTGTATTATGGGAATTCACTTCATTAGACAAGAGACTTCTCCACAAATCTTTCCTGTATAATCCCATTCCTATGATTTGAATGTTTGTTTTGTCCAAAATTCAGCTTGACATTTAGTTGCCATTGTGGCAGTATTGACAGGTGGGACTTTTGGAAGGTGATTGGGCCATGAGGGCACAGCCCTCATGGGTGGGATTAATGCCCTAGGTTCAGCCCTTTTTGTGCCTTTGCACTTCTACCTTCCACCATGTAATCATAGATTAAGAAGGCCATCACTTGTTGCTAGCACCTTGATCTTGGACTTTCCAGCCTCCATAATTGTGAGAAAATACCTATCTGTTCCTTATAAATTACTCAGTCAGGTATTCTGTTATAGCAGCACAAAACAAACTAAGAAAACTATCCTCATTTCTAGCTGCTGCTTGATAACTAATGAGACTTGTGAGTCACACATTTATTCTTTTCAAAGAGCCTTTGTGTGACTAAATTCTCTTTTTGATCTTTCTGAGGTATCAGCAAAAGGTTGTCCAGCCATATCTCAGTTGTCCCTCTAGAATATGCTTTCCTGACAGTGAATCTTCATTTTAGCATTTTTCACAATCTGGATGGATTGGAATTTTCCAAATCATCTAGTCCTGGTTCCTTTTTGTGCAACAGTACTTCTTTCAAAAGCAATTTTCCCTGGCATTTTACTATAAGCAACAACAACAAAAAAAACCCAAAAAACAAAAACAAACAAAAACAGGCTGCACATTCAATTCTGGTTAAAACTGTGCTTAACTGAATGTCCAAGGCCGTATCTGGAAAATTCTCCTCCTATGTAACTGCAGGACATTATTCCACTAATTAAGCTTTCTGCCACTACATAACAAGAATCTCTTCTCGTCCAGTTACCAATAGCATGCACCTCATTTCCTCTTGGGCTCTCAATTGTAGCATCTTTAACTTCCATATTTCTACTAACAGTCTGTTTATAATTAGATATTCTCTAAGGTAATTCAGGTTTTCCTTACCATGCTCCTCACTTCTTTCTGAGTCCTTATGAGCAGAATCTTTGACATCCATAATTCTACTAATGGTCTGTTCAAGGAAATCTAGGCTTTTTCTGTAAGGCTCCTCAATATCGTAGCCTCCACACACTGATCAATTCTACATTTTAAGATAATCTATATTAGTCAGTGTTCAACTGATATAGAGGAAGAACTAGCAGGCTATCTCTCAATACACACACACACACACACACACACACACAGAGAGAGAGAGAGAGAGAGAGAGAGAGAGAGAGAGAGAGAAAGGAATTTATTGCAAGGAATAGGTTTATGCAGTTGTGTGCTTGACTAGCCAAGTCCTAAGTCCACAAAGCAGGCCACCAGGAAAAGCAAGTTGAAACTCTTGTGCATGGCTGATGTTACTATTCACAGGCAGGATTTCTTCAGGGAAGCCTCAGTTCTGTTTTAAAGCCCTTTCAACTCATTGCACCAGGCCTGCCCAGATTATCTAGGATAATCTCCCTTACTCAAAGTCAATTGATCATGAACTTCAATCGAATCTAGAAAATATCTTTTGCAGCAACATCTAGATTAGTGTTTGATTGAATAACTGGAAATCATAGTCTAGTCAAGTTTGTACATCATGAAGTTCATGACAAGCTTAATAAACTTAAGGATATAAAAAGTGTCCTTTGGGAATCCAAATCACTTCCAACAGGCAATAACAGCTGGCTTTAGATTTTCTAAAACAACATTCAATGAAATAAGAAAAATACTTATAAAGTTCTGAGAAAATTCTGTAATCAAGTTTTATATGAAGCCAAGTATAAAGACACCAAAAAACATTCTCAGAAAATATAGCACCTACAACCTCTTCTTGGAATAAAACGAAATGAAATACTAAGTCTTGTTAAAATAGAGCGCAATAAAATTGAATTAAAATAACTAAAGAATCAAGAAGCCAATGGTAAAGAAAGGAAAGGAAAGGAAAGGAAAGGAAAGGAAAGGAAAGGAAAGGAAAGGAAAGGAAAGGAAAGGAAAGGAAAGGAAAGGAAAGGAAGAAAACTGGCAAGCCTTCAACCCATTTAAATACATCAGACTACAAGGTCAAAGAACTGTAAGACTTGTAGAAAAAGTACAAATGCTAGAATCCTTGAAAATATTTTTAACTATTAATTTTTTTCATATAGGGAGATGTTTGGAAGGAGAAGTAAAAGAAAGTTTAAATGTGATAAATTCTTATTTTATTAGTAGGATGTCAGTAGGGGAGATTGATAATTCAGGAACTACTTTAAGTTCCTAATTTGTAAAAGTATTCATTAAAAGGATCAAAAATAATGCATAATAATTCCTGATAAAGCTAAATTCCCAGTGCATAACATAGTATTTTAGCCAGACATATTGCTGCCTTCAACAGTTTAGAGGTTTCGCTATCAATTCAAAGGAGAAAGGCTACATATATTTATATTATCTTCCTCTATTATCCAGATGAATTAAAGACATTTGGAAAGACATATTTGGTTCTTTTTTAAATTCTCATGGCATAATTTTAAAAATGAATGTGTAAATAGCACACTTTTTCTATAATATATAAATTTGTCAGTTTAAGCTGATTTCTAGATCAAAGTAAACATTTATCAATCAGATTATCTAATAATTTGCATTTGGGAGAAAAGTGCTGTTTGGGTGATATATTTCTAACATTGGAGATATAGTAAACAGTAAATCCCTCTGTTTTGTGCATGATATTTCCTGGAAATATAAGACAACTTGGGTTATTTCCCTTTGGGTTTCTTCTAAAAGAGCAAGATTAATTGCTTGAATAAAGATAGGCTCACATCATTTATAAACGTGTATGCAGTCCACTGTGCTGTATTTAATTTCTTTCATAGGATAACAAGCTTAAAGGATAAAGAAAATTGGAGACCAGCTATCACTCTATTAATGGGGATTTAAAGAAGATTGCATTAAAAAATTATATGAAAACTGAAAAAAAAACAGATTAGCAGGCACTAAGATAAAATGAATCGAAGGAAATAATGAACAGGTTGTTTTTAGTGGTACATAGCAAATTGAGAGAAGATATTAGTTAAATTGATAACAAATATGAGCCTAACATATTGCATTGTCTTGAGGAAATAGGACAAAAGTTCATATAACGTAGTTCAGATAATGCATTGAAATATTCTTCAGAAATAGAACAAAGAAGAAAAGATGGTTGACTTTGACTACATTAAAACAAAGAACTACTGTTCATTAAATTATCCCCTTTCTGTCAATGTCCATTCCCATTTGGGTTGGAAATAACCTTTATAAGAATCATGTCTAAAATAATGTATAATACACTGTGACTGGATCATAGTTACAATATTCATTATTTTCCTTTAACCCTGAAGCATGATCAAGAGACATTTTGGTGACAATCAGCTCTTCCTTGTGAACAATATAACCTGTGGACAGGCCTTCAGGGGCACTTCTTTCCTGAACATTAGTGTGGTCTTCTTGGTTCAAAGACTAGAATTAATCAAATATAAGTGACTGAAAAAAATGGCGGCCAAATGGGCAACAGGACTGTCAAGGTAGGATAAACCTGGATTCCTTCACAGGCTCATGTAAGTTAGTTGTAACCACATTTAGATATAAATATTTATATGCATCCTTCAGTTTTAGACATAAAACATATACGTAGTTATTTCTCATCTAAATTATCATGCTTTTTAGTTTGTACACACTTGATACTCCAGGTATATAATTTAAAAATTAAGATTGAAGTCAATATAATAAACCATCCACCTGATAGTTAAAAATATGATCCTAATAAAAGAACCTGGTAAGATCAAATATACAGCCTCACTTTCTGGTCAAAATGATAACTTACAGAGAAGCAATTTAATCATTCTGCTAAATGTTGCCTGTGCTTAGGGTAATTGTTATCATCATTGGGCAGTAAAACAAAAGGTTTCATGACTTCAGCCTTTTTATCTGTATCGTTACTCTATGCAGCCCTTTCATAACGGCTAACAGCTGTTTCTCTGATGATTTACCCTAAAATTTGGGATCTTGATTCCGATTTTTAAAGGGACGTTTATGTTTCAAGCAGCATCAACATGTTTCATTTAAGATTGCAGTTGAAAATAAAAAAGGAATATCATTTTTTCCCTGAGAAATACAGCTGCCCATTCACTTATTTTGTCATATGATCTGCTACTGATCTGGTTTTAAAGAAAAATGTTTTTCCCTATATTTACTCCCAAGAGGTTTAGATCAGCATTACAAACTAAAGAATAACGTCTACTTCTCAATTGTGTAGCATTTTCCCTCAAAAATCTTGACATTATTTTATCTTACTTTCAGATAAATCACCAAGGACTAAGAACAAATATGTGAGAATCATTATATTCAAACATGTAATGTTTTGAATAAAACTGTCATGTTACTGACTTAAAATACTAAAAATATAGTTCAAAGCTTTTTTTTCTTTTATTAGTTGTCCTGAGAAATTTGGAATAAGCTGTTCACACTCTCTCATTTGGTGACTCTTATGAACTCTGAGATATATTTATAAAAAAGCTGTCTTTAAAAAGGAATTTATTCTTGAGCAATGAAACAGAATGGATTCTTTGCGGTAAGCTAACTGGTCCATGAAATAATTGAATCCATGATGCTACTTTTATTTAATATGCTCCATTCAAAAGAGCTTACTGGCTCAAATATGAATAATACTTAAATTTTTGAACAATAATAGAAATTTATGTAAATGATACTTTTATTTTATTAACATTTTTAAGATGCAAAGTGTCCTTTTTCTGGAGAGGCACAGGCATGTGGGAAAACTTGAGAAATTATTACAGCAAACTAAAACATACGCAAAACCAGGATCTTAATGTGAATTACATTTGGAAGCAGTTGAGGGAAATAATGGGTCTTACATTTACTCATTTATTAACTGTAGCATTAGATACTTATTTCAGGTTAAAAATTCAAATGAAAAACATTTTACATTCTTATAAATTATACATATATATGTATCACCATGAAGCATTCCTTCATTAGAACATTTCATTAAAAATTTCAGGGCAAAATATACTGTTTTAAATTCCTTAAGGATAGTCAGAATCAAAACTATGAAACCTGAAGATGGCTTATATTTTACATGTATTATAACAAAATTTAAATGTTGTCAAGAATGTTTTCAGCAAAACAAAATGTTAACTCACGATGTTAAAAGAGCAAAAATCTAAAATAATTCATTTATTTATTGAACAATTATGTGATAGACACTGTGTTAGGTAATAGGGATAAAAAGAGAGCAAAGTGGCCCTTCCTTTCCTGGAGATGATGGCCTACTGGAATATGAGACAGAGAGATAATAAAGAAGTAAATGAACAAAAACAAAAGAATTATTTCTCATGTAACACAGCTAAAGGATGTAGTGATATGAGAGAAAATAATATAGTAGATGGAAGAAGAATGAACCACGTAAGGTAGGTTTGTAAGAAATTTCTTTCATAGAAATTGAAAGCACAAGCATATTTTTAGGGACACAAACAGCAAATACCAGTAAGGTCAAATTCACAATGTCTGGCATTCAATAAAAATTACCAGACATGCAAAGAGGTAGGAAAATACAACTCATACTGAGGAGAAAAATCAATCCAAACCGATCTTCAATTGACACAGATGATAGATTTAATAGACAATGATATTAAAAGTTATTATAACTATATTCCACATGTTCAAGAAGTTAAAGGAAGTAGAAACATGAATGACTAAAATTAAACATCTAGAAATGAAACATACAAATCTGAGATGAAAAACACAGTTGATGGGATTAATGGCAGATTATACTTTGCATAAGAAAGATAAGTGAAATTGAGAACATACCAGTGAAAACTCTGCAAATGAAACAGGGAAAAAAGACTAAAAAAATAAACAGAGTATCAGTGAGCTGTGGAACCAACATTAAAAAGCCTAATATATGTGTAACTCAAGTTCCCTAAAGAAGTAGAATAAAGACATAACAGAATATTTGAAAAATAATGACCAATTTTCCAAATTAAATTAAAATTATAAGCTCATAGGTCCAAGAAGCTCAACAAACTCCTAGCATAAGATATATGAATGAAACTACAGATAAATCATAATCAAACTGTATAAAACTGGTGATAAAGAAATAATCTGTAATGAATCCAGACAAAAAAGACATTACATACAGAGGAACAAAGATAGGAATTAGAAACAATGAGATTTCAATATTCCCTTTAAAATAATCGAGAGAACAAGTACATTGAAAACCAACAAGGATATAGAGTTGAATAATACTACCAATAACTTAACTAAATTGACATTGACAAAACATTTCAACAAACAACAACATAATACACATTCTCGTCAATTGTACACAGAACATGTTCCATGATTGATTAAATTTTGCATTAAAAACTCTCAATAAATTTCAAAAGATTCAAGTTATATTCAATATGCTCTATGACTAAATTGGAGTTAAGTGAAAAATAAAAATCTATATATAGCTGAAAGATTTTGAAAACTTTAGAAACTATACAACATTTCTAAATAACTCTTGGCTCAAAGGGAAATTAGAAAATATTTTGAACTAAACAGTAATGAAAACATAAATATTCATATCTCTAGGCTGTCACTAAAATGGTACTTTGAAACCTATAGTACAAATGCCTATATTAGAAAAGAAATACTTCTCAAATTAAAGAGCCAAGCTTTTGCCTTAAAACTCTTGAAAAGGAAGAGTAAATGAAACCCAGAAAATATAAAATAAAGCAAAAAATACAGATCAGAGGAGAAAACGGTGAAATATAAAACAAAAACAATAAAGAAAATCAATGAAACAAAAAATATTATTTAAGATCAATAGAATTGATTAAATTTTAGCCAAAAAAAGAAGACAAAAAATTTTTCAATATCAGGAATGAGAACAATGTTATCACTACAGCATCTACAGATAATTAAAATGATGACAGAGGAATATTATAAACAATTTTATACCAATAAATTCAACAACTTTGATAAAATTGACAAATTCTTTGAAAGACACCAATTAACAAAGTTCACTCTAGGAGAAATGGGAAAGCTGTACATATGAAAGAAATTGAATGTGTGGTTAAGCACCTTCCCACAAAAGACACCTACATGCCCAGATGGCTTCAGTGATAATTTTCACCTAATACTTAAGGGAGGTATTATAGCAATTCTTTGGAAGACCTCAAAGATATTTGAATAGGAAGGAATGTTTCCCAATTCATTATATGAGTCAAAATATTTCCAATATAAAAACAAGGCAAATATATTCCAAGAGAATTACAGAAAAATATCCTTCAAGAACATAGATTTAAAAATTCTTAAAAATTTAGCAAACTGAATTTAGCAATATACAAAATAAAATAAAATAGATCATGGACTTGAGGTAGAGAAAGTTGGTGCAATAGAAGGCTCCACCAACTGTTCCCCCCCAACCCGCCACCCCCCACCACAAGGACACCAATTTAACAAGTATCTATCAAAACAAACAAACAAACAACAAAAAAAAGCAAAACACCTTCATAAAAAGCAAAAATCAGGTGAGTACTCACAGTACCTGGTTTTAAAACCAGGTTTATATATATATAAATAAATTATATTATATGTATATATTATATACATTATATTATATATTATATATATAATATATATATTTATATTTATATATATATAGTTCCTGAATTATCAATCTCCCCTACTGACATCCTACTAATATTTTATTATTCTCCACCAAAAAAGTATTATTACTGAAAAACAAATTCAGTAAAGTTGCAGGATACAAAGCTAACACATAAAAAATAGTAGCATTTCTATATGCCAACAGTGAACAATCTGAAAAAGAAATTTCAAAAAAGTAATCTCATTTAAATAGCTGCACATAAAATTAAATATCTAGGAATTAACCAAAGAAGCAAAAGATCTCTATAATGAAAACTATAAAACAATGATGAAAGAAATTGAAGAGGCCACCAAAAAAGGAAGATATTTCATGTTCATGGATTGAAAGAATCAGTTTTGTTAAAATGTACATACTACCCAAAGAAATCTACAGATTTCAATGCAATCCCTATCAAAATACCAATGACATTCTTCACAGAAATACAAAAGAAAAATCCTAAAATTGATAAGGAATCAAAAAAGACCGAGAGTAGCCAAAGCCATCCTAAGCAAAAAGAGCAAAACTGGAGGAATCACATTACCTAACTTCAACTTATACTACACAGCTATGGTAACCAAAATAGCATGATACTGGCATAAAGACAGACACATAGACCAATGGAACAGAAATGAGAACTCAGAAACAAATCCACACATCTATAGTGAACTCATTTTTGACAAAAGTGCCAAGAACATATACTGGGGAAAAGACAATTTCTTCAATAAGTTGTACTGAGAAAACTGGATGTCCACATGCAGAAGAATGAAGCAAGACCCCCATGTCTTGCTCTATACAAAAATCAAATCTAAATGGATTAAATACTTAAATCTAAGACCTCAAACTGTGAAACTACTACCAGAAAACATTGGGAGGAATCTCCAAGAGACTGGTCTGGGAAAACATTTATTGAGTAGTAATACCCCATAAGAACAGGCAACCAAAGCAAAAATTGACAAATGGAATCAGATCAAGTTAAAAAGCTTCTGCACAGCAAAGTAAACAGTCATCAAAGTGAGAAAACACACATAGAATGGTAGAAAATATGTGTCAACTACCCACCTAACAAGGGATTAATAACCAGAATACACAATGGGCTCAAACTCTGTAGGAAAAAAATCTGATAATCCAATTAAAAACTGGTCAAAAGATTTGAATAGATATTTCTCAAAGGAGACATATAAAAGGCAAACAGGCATGTAAAAATGTGCTCAACATCAGTGATCATCAGAGAAATGTAAATCAAAACTACAACAAGATATAATCTCATCTTAGATAAAATAGCTTATATCCAAAAGACAGGCAACAACAAATGCTGGCAAAGATGTGGAGAAAAGAGAACCCTCAAACACTGTTTGTGGTAATGTAAATTAGTACAACCACTATGGAGAACAAAGTAGAAGTTCCTCAAAAAAACTAAAAATAAAGCTACCATACGATCTAGCAATCCCACTGCTGGGTATATGCCCCCCACCAAAAAGGAAATCACTATATTGAAGAGATATCCACACTTTCATGTTTGTTGCAGCACTGTTCACAATAGCCAAAATTTGGCTAAGTGTCCATTAATGAAGGAATAAGCCGAATGTGTTTAGTATTCAGCCATAATAAAGAATGAGATCCTGTCATTTGCAACAACATGGATGGGACTGGAGGTCATTATGCTAAGTGAAATAAGCCAGGCCAAAAAGGCAAAGATCACATGTTCTTACTTAGTTGTGGGATCTAAAAATCAAATAATTGAACTCATGGAGATAGAGAGTAGAAAGATAGTTTCCAGAGGCTGCGAAGGGAAGGGAAGGGTCAGGGGAGATGGGGTGATTAATGGGTACAAAAAAATAAAAAGAATAAATAAGTCCTAGTATTTGACAGCACAACAGGGTGACTTTAGTCAATAATAATTTAATTGTGCATTTTAAAATAACTAAAAGTGTATAATCAGATAGTTTGTAACACAAAGCATAAATACTTAAGGGGATGGATACACCATTTTGTATGATGTGATTATTATGCATTGCATGTCTGTATCACAGCATCTCATGTACTCCATCAATATATGCACCTACTATTTGCCCACAAAAATTTAAATAAAAAATTCCTTTAAAAAAGCATTATGAGTAAGTAAGGTTTATTCCAGAGATTCTGGTTTAACAATCAGACAAAAAGTCTAAAGACTTAAGACTTTAGGAAAAAAAGAGCAATTGATAGAAAATTAATCAATTAAATTCATCATGTTATTTAACCACATAATATCTGAATAGATGCAGAAAAAGTATTTTACAAAATCTAATAGCTTTTTTCTCGTAAATTTTCTCAGCGGTGTACAGAGGGGCATTTCTTCAACCTGATAAAGGACATCTATAAAAAACAATAGCCAACATCATATGTAATGGTGAAAAATTGTATGTTTTCCTCTCAAATTCAGTAACAAAGCACTTCCTTTCACCATAGTGGTGATTCCACCTAGTGCCATAAGGCCAGAAAAAGTGATGACAGGCATCTATCTTAGAAGCGAAGCAATAAAACTGTCTTTACTCACAGACTACATGTTTGTCTATGTATAAATCCTATAAAATCTACAAAAGCTGCTAGAATAAACAAGTGACTTTAGTCAGCTTGCAGATTACAAGCTAAATATTTAAAAATCAATTGTTTTTATATATGTGCAATAAAAATCAGAAATTAATATAAAAATTGCATCATGATATATTAAACATAGAAGTATAAATCAAATAAAAGATATGCAAGACTTGAACACTGAATGCTATAAACATTACTAGTAGAAGTTAAGGAAAATCTAAATAAATGGGGAGATATGTCATATACATTTATCAAAATACTCAATATTGTTAAGACATCAATTCTCCCCAAATTGATCTACAGATTCAATGCAATCCCAATTATAATTCTAACACAATTATTTGTAGAAATTGACAAGATGATTCTAAAATATATATGAAAATATGAAGTATCTAGAATAGCCAAAATAACTTTGAAAAAAAAAATGAAGAACGTATACTATCAATGTTAAAACTTATTGCAGAGCTGCAGTAATCAAGACAATATGATATTCATGTAAAGATAAATAAATAGATCAATAGAATTGTATAGGGTTCAGAAATAGACCCAGATATATATGGTTAAATTGATATTTGACAATAGTGTGGAAAAGACAGTCTTTTCAAACTTTTTTGAGGAATAATTGACATATAAAAAGCTGTACAAAATTAGTGTATACATATTGTGCATAAGTGTATACCCATGAAACTATCACCATCATCAAGGCCATAAACATATCCATCGCCTCCCAAAGTTTTATTTTGCTCTCTTTATTATCGTTATTGGTTTGTTTCAAATTGAAAACTTTGAATAGGTAAAGTTTGTTATTGTCAACTAGGGCTTAATAAAGTGGTTAAACAACTTAAATAAAGTAGATTATTCTCTAGCAAAGTTTAATTTTAAGAACGACATTGGAGACTAAGAAAGAGTGGTTTAAAAAAAAAAAGCTTTAAACAAATAGGATATATTGCATGATGCTAATTCCAACCGCAGCATCATGCAATATACCCACGTAACAAACTTGAACACGTACCCTGTATCTAAAATAAAAGTAGAAATTTTTAAAAAAGGAAATGAGTAAAAAAAAAAAATGACAAATAGAAAGCAATTTACAACATCGTAGGAAAGAAGAAACAATTAGAAATAATCTTAAGAAACAAAGTGTGAGACTTGTATACTAAAAACTGCAAAAGAATAAATTTGGACCTCTACCTCACACCATACACAAAAATTAATTATTAATTTAAAATGGATGATAGTCCTAAGTTTGACAGCAAAAACTATAAAACTCCTAGAAGGAAAGACAGGAGTAAATTTTCATAACCTTGGGTTAGGCAATGGTTTCCTAAATATAACAACACCAAACTCACAATGACAAAAGACAAAAACTCGGTAAACTGCACTTCGACAAAAACAAAAACGAAAAAGAAACAAAAAACAGGCTTCAAAGGAAACCATCAAGGAAATGAAAAGACAACCCATAGACTAGAAGAAAATATCTGCAAATCTTATTTGTGGTAATGGACTTGTATAAGGAATATGTAGAGTACTCCTACAACTCAACAATAAAAAAGACAAAAAAATGTTAATGGGCAAATTATTTGAATGACACTTTCTCCAAAGAATATATACATACGAACAATAACACATGAATAGATATTCAACATCATAGTCATCAGGTAAAGGTAAATCAAAACCACAATGAGATACCACTTCACATCTACTAGAATGATGATAATCAAAAAGACAGAAAATAACAGGTGACAGCAAAGATTATCGAGAAGTTAGAACTCTCATATATTGTTCGTGAGATTGTAAAATAGTGCAACAACTTTGCATAAGAGTTTGTCGGTTCTTCAGTATGCTAAAGATATACCATATGACCCAGCAACTCTACCCCTAGGTATCTACCCATGAAATATTAAAATATATGTTTATACAAAAACTTGTAATCAATGTTCTTTGCCGTATTGTCAAAAACAGCTAAAAACTGGAAATTTTAGCTGTTCATCAACTGATGAGTAGGTAAACAAATGTTCATCAACTGATGAGTAGGTAAACAAAATGTTCATCAATTGATGAGTAGCTAAACAAAATTTTGACACATGCACGTGTATGTTCATCACAGCAGCAAAGACATGGAATCAACCTAAATTCCGATAAAGGTAGACTGGATTAAGAAAATGTGATATATATATATATATATATACACACACACACACACACACACACACACATATAAACACATACACACACAATTACAATTTATGGTGTATATACATATATATATATTTCTATACACACACTCCATGAAATACTACACAGCCATAAAATAGAGTGAGATCATGTCCTTTGCAGCAACATAGACAGAGCTGGGGGCCATTATCCTAAGCGAACTAATGCAGGAACAGAAAACCAAATATTGCATGTTGCTACTTGTAAGTGGGAGCTGAACATTGAGTACACATGGACACAAAGAAAGGAACAGACACCAGGTCCTACTTTAGGGTTGGGAGTGGGAGGAGGGTGAGGATCAAAAAAATACCTATCAGGTACTATGCTTATTATCTTAGTGATGAAATAGTATGTGCATCAAGCCCCAGTGACAGCCAATTTATCTGCAGAATCAGCCTGCACATGTTCCTCTGAAACTAAAATAAAAGGTTTTTTTAAAAAATGTGGTTCATCCATACACTGGAATATTATTTGGTAATAAAAAACAGTGAAGTATTGACACATGCTACAACATGAATAAACTTCAAAAACATTATGCTAAGTGAAAGAAGTTATGAAAAACCTCATGTATGATTCCATTTATGTGAAACCTCCAGAATAGGCAAATTCATAGAGGCAGAAAGTTGATTAGTGGTTACCCAAGATTAAGGGATGGGGGTAAATAGTAGCAGGGTAGGGGATGGGGAGTGACTGCTAATGGATACAAGGTTTATGTTTGCAATGAAGAAAATGTTCTAACATTAGGTTATGGTGATGGTTGCACGACTCTGTGAATACCCTATCATTGAGTAATACACATGATCTCCAACTTAGGATGGTTCAACATAAGATTCGACTTACAATTTTTCAACACAATGATGGTGTGAAAGTGATAAACATTCAGTATGCTTCTCAACTTATGGTGGGGTTACATCCTGAAAAACCCAACAATGTATGATACGTTTATTAGATGTAACCTTGTTGTAACCTTTATTCAAGAGAGACTGCTGTGTTGCATTTGCCGCACTGGCAGTTTATGCAATCTTCCAAGGGAGATGAAGGCTGTAAGATGAGTCAGGTTCAGAGGAGCTATAGATATGGCTCATTCACTCAATGCAGGATTTACCCCAAACTACCTGATCCCAAAGGCAGAATGTTGTGGGGGAAGCCCAACTCCTACCTGGCACCCAGACTCTGCAGTAAGTATTTCATTGCCTGACATCCTGTGAGAATGCCCTTCCCAGCACCCCTTGGTAGAACATATGACTGTTCATGTATTTACGACCACCTTCCTCAATAAACTTTAAACCCCATGAAGACATGAGGACATGAAGACATGTCCCTTTTACAACTCCCAGACACTCAGTGTATAGCAGAGTGCTATTCCTTTGTTGAGCAAACTGAGCACCTACTATGTGCTAGATACAAGAAATAAATGAATTATTGCTGGAGTGGTATTTTGTTAGCAGGAGCTGCAGACATGTAAAACCACACCTCCAACAATAAAATAAGCCAGGCATGGTGTCTCACCCCTGTAATCCCAATACTTTGGGAAGCTGAAGTGGGAGGAACACTTGAGGCCAGGAGTTTGAGAGCACCTTGGACAAAATAGCGAGACACCTGTCTCTACAAATTTTCTTTTTTTTTTTTAATTAGCCAGGTGTGGTAGCATGCACTTGCTGTCCTAGCTACTAGGGAGATTGAGGCAGGAGGATTGCCTGAGCCCAAGAGGTGGAGGCAGCAGTGATCTATATTCACACCACTGCACTTCAGCCTGGGTAACAGAATGAGACCTTGTGTCTTAAAAAATAAAAATAAAATTTTAAAAAAGAAAAGATTTCTTACTTCACCATCAGTTAGGTTCATGGCTGAGATCCCTATTAAAAAAAAGAGATTAAAAAGAGAAAAGCATACAAATTTACTTAATGTAAGTTTTACATGACATGAGAGTGTTCAGAAATGAAGACCCAAAGAAACAGGAAAATTTGTGAATGAAGAGTGGAGAGTTGTACAGAAGTACGATCAGACAAAGAGGATATGATTTCATGGTAATAAACTTGGGGGAACTTAGCAAAACCTGTTCAAGTTGTTCTCTGTGTCCTTGTGTCTTCAGAGATAGGGACATTCCTTTTCTTGGATTATGGATTGAGTAGCCTTTATCCAAAATGGTTAGGACTAGAAGTGTTTTGGATTTCTAATTTTTTTAAATTTTGGAATATTTGCATATACAAAATGAGATATATTTGGGATGGGACCTAAGTCTAAACATGAAATTCATTTATGTTTAATACACAATGTATACACATATCCTGAAGGTAATTTTGTACAGTATTTTAAATAATTTTGTGACTGAAACAAAGTTTTGACTGCATTTTGACTGCAACCCATCACATGAGCAGATCAGGCAGATCAGCTGTAGAATTCTCTACTTGTAGTGTCATGCAAGATCTCAAAAAGTTTTTAATTTGGGAGCAGATTTTGGATTTTTTGGTGAGAAATATTAAACCTGCATAGGGAGAGAATCCCTCTCATGAGAGTCTTATAACCTACTTTAGAGAAAAGTCAGAGAATTCTTTATGGCCCGCTTCAGAAGGACGAAAGAAGGTCAGAAAGACCTTCCTGCTTCTGCTGTTTTCTCATATGCCAAAGTACGTTAATTTGGATTAGAATGTCCTGAACTCCATGAAAGCCAGTGTAAAGAAAAAGTAAAGAGGTGAGTTAACATTTAAAACTTTCTATGTAGCCCAGTGGTGTCCCAGGCATTGCCACACATGAGATTGCATCAATTACCAAGATTTTATGTTTTTGTTACTCCTGTTGAAACATTTTAAAAAGCTCAGAGAGGTTAAATTTGCTGAATGTTCCACAACTCTAAATGAAGCTGTAGTTCCAAACTCAGAGTTATCTGATTTCAATTTTCTTCTCCTGAGGCCATACTAAAAAGAATACCAATCATTTATTTTTTTCTTAAAATTGATACAGTTTTCACCTATCTCACTTGCTTATAACTAGAGTTACAAGAAAACTTTGAGAAACTTTCTCTGCTTTGGGATTACATTATAATTAGCACTATCTAAAAAAGGAGTGTCCTATTTGTCCACAAACAGATGTACACAGGCCCTGGAAATCTCTCTGATTGTCCTCTCTAGCTTCCTCAATACTTAGTGACAGCTACCTTTGTCACTATCATTAGAACAAAAGCAGGGTGACGTAAATGCACCCAAAAGTAGAAGAGATAAACTGAATAGTGTGCTTGCTCTCTTCTAATATGCATTTCCAGAAGAGACTCTAGCAAAGGGTCATTCATCTGGAATACTTGATTTTTTAAATGTATAATAAATTGAAATAATTCTAAAACCAAGACATGAAAAACATCAGTTTTAGGTTTTGTTTTTGTTTTTGTTTTGCTACTAGCCTAAGAAAAGAAAAAAAAAGACTTATCAGAGGTTGGTTAGCTGAAGGATAAAATGATACAGAAGTATGATCAAAATATAGAAAGTTATTTCTTGAAAAAGAGACTGGAACAAAGGGTACCATGATGCCAACGTTATGGTTTAAAGATGTGATTTACAAATAGATTTTAGAATTCTACTGTTTTCTGTAACTGTAACATTTTCTATAGCAATCACGCTCCCTTTTGGTAATAAAGAAAAATATATGTATTTTAAGAGGGAGAACAAAAAATTAGACATTCATTTTGACTTGTTACTTTCTTTTCCTTACATCATATACAAGTTATAATTGTTTAGGAGACATAAATTAAGCACTGCTATATGCACATCAGTAAAGGTGATGCGAGAGGGGTGATGCTTTGTTGAACTTTGTTCAACAAAGTTGAACATAAAAGAAGCAACATAAAATAGAGTAGGGAGGTAGATTTCAAACAAACAACCAACAAAAAAATTTAGCTTTGTAAGTACCACAGGTTAAGATTTATAAAACCCCTTCAGGAAAACAAATATGAAAGTGTTTGGAAACTGCTTAATTTTATACTTGAAAGTGCTTAATAACTAAGATACTGTGCTAATCATTTAAATTACATTAGCCACCTGAGAAATAATGTGATTTTATTAATATTAAAATAACACCAACAAAGAATGTAAAAGGAGCTTCCCTAAGCAGTAAACAGTGTACTATGCTTAGTACTTTTGAATACATGAACAAAATAAATTCAGGAAAAAAGAAATGATAAAAGCTCTTAAGATTTATTTTTTAAAAAGTACCCAGTAAGTAAATTTAGAGCCAAAGTTTAGTAAAAGACAATAAGAAATAAGTGAAAATAAAGCGAACATTTAAGCTCTAAAGTATAAGATTATTCTCTAATCCTCTTAGTGTTTTTTGACTTTTCTTAAATGCCAATCTTTTAAAATTAAATAACCCTGCTGTGTGGTAGGTTTTAATTTTTTAGCATCTAGTTTGCAAGACAGAAAACCAACTTAGGAGTTAATTTTCTTAGGGAAAAGATTAAAAAGGAGAAATCCTAACTATTTTACCCAATGTTCTTATAGACAAGTTAGTTTGTTGTCTTAAACGTTCTAAAAGCTAATTCAGAATTTAGTATTTTGGTAGCAAAATCTTTTCTCCATGTGGTGAGGAATAGAAAAATTTAGTAATTGATTAATAGGTTGCAAGCAGATATAATCTATAAAAACTATTTAGTTTCCATTATCCTCTGTAAAATACTAGGTTTCAGGATTATGCTTTACCACAGATTAAATAGTTTATCTTTTGGGTGCCCTAGGCAGCCATCCAGTCTAGTAAATGGCTAATGGAAGTCATAACAATAAAGCTAGATAGAGGGTTTCTGTTGTTATTTTACTTTCAGCACCACTAGGTTATAGTGCAGTGGGGGTGTGAATCCCTGCCTGAGGCTTTCAAAATATTCCCACATGTTTCATAGAGTGACTGTGACTGTGCTGACACAACAATGTTCCAAATACCTCAAGAAAACTTATTTGAAAAGGTTATGGTATGATCACATATTTGAGATAAATATAAAATAATTGTTCTCTTCTTTAAATGAGATAAAAACAAAACACATACAGGATGAAACCAAGGGTGCTCTGTGCTGAGGTTATTACATTGCCTCCCATTAATGTCAGATGTGTCTCTCAGCCATTCACTTCTGCCTTGCCAGTGCCTGGCACTTGGCAGGTAATCACTAAATGTTGGCTGTTGAATTAACTGAAAAGAGAACAGTGAAGAAGTAATTGCAAAAATGAAGCACACACCCCTTTTCCCCAACTTTCCCAATGTTTTTATTGTAGTAGAATACACATAACATAAAAGTTACCATATTAGCCATTTTTAAATGTACAGTTGAGTGGTATTAAATGCATTTTTAATGTTGTACAACCATCACCACCATCTATCTCCAGAATTCTTTACATCTTGTAAAACTGAAACTTTAGACTCATTAAACAATAAGTCCCCACTCTCTCCTCCCCCAGCCCCTGGCAACCAACATTCTACTTTCTATCTCTATGATTTTGACCGTTCTAAGTTCCTTATACAGAATCTGTCTGTGATTGGCTTATTTCACATAGCATAATGTCCTCAAGATTAATTTATGTCGTAGTATATTCCAGAATTTCCTTTCTTTTTAAGGCTGAATTATATCCCATTATATGTATATACCACATTTTGCTTATCCATTTACCCATCAATAGACATTTTAGCTACTGTGAATAATGTTGTTGCGAACGTGGGTTGAACAAATACCTTTTTAAGACCATGCTTTCAATTATTTTGAGTAAATACTCAGAAGTGGAATTGCTGGATCATATCATATAATTCTATTTTTATTTTTTGAGAAGTTGCCAGTTTTCCACAGAGGCTATATACCATTTACATTCCCACCAACGGTACACAAGGGTTCCAATTTCTCCACATCTTCACCAACACTCTTTGTCTCCTGTGTTTTTTGGATAGTAGCCATCCTAATGTGTATGAAGTGGTATCTCATCGTAGTTTTGATTTGCATTTCCCTAATGATTAGTAAGGTCAAGCATCTTTTCGTGTGCTTATTAGCCATTGTATATCTACTTTGGAGAAATGTTTAATCCAGTCATTTTTCCATTTTTGCCTTGGGTTGTTTTTGTGTTGTTGACCTTTTAGAGTTCTCTGTATTCTAGATATGAACCCCTTATAAGATACATGATTTGCAAATATGTTCTCCCATTTTTTGGGTTGTCTTCTTACTCTGTTGATAGTGTCTACCCATTAAAAAATTTCATAATCTAATTTTAACTGTTTCAAGGTTTTAGAAACAGATGAGGACATATATAGCATATTTTTAGCTGTATAATGTCTACTCTAGAATTACCAAAGAAATGTTTAAATTACCTTGAGTAACATAATTATGTTGCCTCAGGTTACAAAGTCTCTGGAATTGGTGATTAAAATTTTTATCTTGGTAACAGGTAGAGCATCACATAAGAGGATCAATAGTAATATTTTGAAAGAAGAAAGAAAGGGAAAAAATAAAGGAAGATCAGAAGGAAGAAAGGCAAAAAAAGGAAGAAAGGATCAAATGATACAACGTATGAATTTACCAGAGGACACAGAAAGCTGTAATGCTTTTTAATACCCATCTTTGCCATGTAGAACAAAAGGTACTGACAATAATTGGAAAATATTTATATCTAATGGAATAAAGGAGTCTGCTTTTCAAACAAAATGAGGTACTGATTTTCAAAGATCCCATTGGTCCCCTTGGCATACTAGTGTTACACACTAAAATTTTTCTGCTTAAAAAAAATCAATGTCAAAATGTCATTGGCCAGGAACGGTGGCTCATGCCTGTAATCCCAGCATTTTGGGAGGCTGAGGTGGGCAGATCACCTGAGATCGGGAGTTCGAGACCAGCCTGACAGACATGGAGAAACCCAGTCTCTACTAAAAATACAAAATTAGGCGGGTGTGGTGGCACACGCCTGTAATCTTAGCTACTCAGGCGGCTGAGGCAGGAGAATCACTTCAGCCAGGAGGCAGACGTTGCAGTGAGCCAAGATCGTGCCATTGCACTCCAGCCCGGGCAACAAGAGCAAAACTCCATCTCAAAAAAAAAAAAAAAAAAAAAAATTCATCAAAGTAGTGTTTTACTCCAAACAGCTAAAGAGTCACAAGGAATGCTATTGTTTATGGTAAGGTAACATCTAATGACCACTTTTACAAGGTTATGATATCAATAATTATTTCCCCTTTATAGGAACTTTAAAACCCACTATGCTTATGAATATCTGTCTTTGTTTAAAACAACCTAGATTAGAAAATGTAAAAACAAACATGACTACATGGTGAAACCCCATATTTACAAACAAATACAAAAATCAGCCAGGTGTGGTGGCATGTGCCTGTAGTCCTAGCTACTTGGGTGGCTAAGCTGGGAGGACTGCTTGGGCCTGGGAGGTCGAGGCTGCCATGAGCTGTGATTGTGCCACTGTACTCCAGTCTGGACAACAGAGCAAGACCCAGTCTCCAAAAAAAAAAAAAACAAGAAGAAGAAAGAAAGAAAAAGAACATGAAAAAAAATCACCTTTGATTGTCTTTTCAATATTGAAATTAATTTTTTAAAAGGGAGAAAGATTCCAATATGGCAAATTTCTTATCAATGGCAACTTGAAGCCAATAAAACTAAAGGAATACTATATATATATAGTGTGTATATATATATATAAATATCCTGACACTATATCTGGCAGTATGGATCATTTTCAACAGAAGAAATTTTTATTAGAAAAGATTGAATTTTATCAAAACTTGGATTAGTCTTAACAGTACTGGTCTGTGGCCTGGGGGTTGGGGTCCCCTATCCTATCCTATAAAAATCAGGTGCTTTTACAGGCTTTATGTATTACATATATGTTATTACCTCTATCAATATACTGTACTTAAAAAGGTTTTATATGTAATACATATTGAGTGATCTATGAATTATTTGGAAATTTGTTAATGTTCTGTATCTGTGCTGCACAAATGCAGGTCATTATATAGTAGGTCTGGAGTGGAGCCTGAGATTCTGCACTTCTAACATAAGCCCAAGTGACATCAATGTAGCGGATACCACCGCACACTCAGTGGAAAGCTTCTCCAGGGCTGGTTTGCCAATGCAAGAAGAGGGGCTTTTTTGGGGATAGACCAAAAGCAGAATAATGATACTTCTTCAGAAAGAAAATGACTCAGTCAAAATAATGATAAATAACTACACAGAATGGAAGGCCAAGCCCACTGTCCTCTTGTCCATGTGTTTCCCTGACCATCTAAAAACATAGGAGGTAGAGGATGGAGTGTTAGAGGAATAGATGCAAATGAAAAACTACTCATCTTTTCCCATCTCTACAACAGCACCTACCACCTACATAAAACAGTACAAAATTGAAGTTAATTTTCAATACAGCAATAGGAGTATTTCCTACTGTTTGAATTCCTGTCTTTTCCTATTTACCTTACATGTGTCTTTTTCTCCTTTTTCCACTTGGGACCCATTAGTTATCATGGAAATAATGATTCTGGTGAGAATGAGGAATAAAGACATAAGTATTTTCAGCTGAGGCAAAGTGCTACAAATTGCATTCAATTCTCAGAGCTGGGTTTACACCACAGTTGGAGAGCAGCAAAATTAAATCAGAAATTAGACTGCTGAATTATTCTGGATTCAACTCTAGAAGGCAGACTGCTAGTCTCTGCAGGAGAACATACAAATCTGAGCTGCAGAGAATGATTAGGCAATGAACAGCACACTGGGAGAAAATGGATTTGTAGGAGGAAGGGATAAATAAAAGTTCTCTGTCCCTTTTCTACAAATTTTAAATATCCGTTTGTTGTGGGGTATTGGAATTATTGCATTGAAAAGACCATTAGTAAGAACTTGTAAAAATAGCATGATTCCCAATATTTAGGGAACAGCCTCTGGTTAGGAAAAATTTTTTAAAAAGACATTCGCATTATATAAGAATTCCATTTATACACATGTGCAAGGTGAAGCCTATGGGGTTCTCCAATGAAAATCTGAACCTGATTTGTCAAGTCGTGAAGACAAATGATGATCAAACAGAGCACTTTAAAATGAACTGCCATAAACAAGAAGAGTGCAGCTTACTGCTGCTATTAACCATAATTGGGTTTTGGAAGGAAACAGAAGCCGAATGCAATATAGGTAATTAAAGAACAAGCTTTCGTTAACACTAGCAATCAAGGGGTTGTGATTTTAGAGACGTTGAATGTATTATGGTGCCCTGAAACTCATCTATTTTTAAATGGGTAGTGTGTTTCTCTCTCCTGCAACACTAAAGTATAATCCTAGCTAACAGACAGGTCGTTTTCTATTCAAACTATTTACCTTCCATTTAGGGCAAAGATGAGTCTTTTCAAAATTCAGAATTACCATGGAAACCATATTCTGAATCCCTGAGGAATGGGGAACAATTGGTTATGAAATTGTGATGGCTAAATTAAAAGTCCCTAAATAGTGCATTATTGTAACTACTATCTCAATACTAAGCATATGGGTTTTTATTTTGTTTCCCTTTAAAATGAACTCATTGTTCTTTACAAGATGCCTATAACATTTTGATTAGGTAACTTAAAGCAAATATGGTATTTCAAAATATGATAGCTGAGAATCAAAATTAAAATCATAATGAATATAAAAGAATGATTACAATTGTCATACCAGATGTTCAACATTTCTGGAGAAATAACTGAGACTTAGCTTTATAAAAATGTTCAGAAGTAAAACATGAAAACAATCCTAGGAGATTCAATAAGTAGGACCTTTTTCGAAAGTTTTGAATCATGCTATTTTGAAAGAAAACTTGAATATCAAAGCAGTAGCTCTTCAGATAAAAAGTTAGAGTAAACAGCACATTTCTTTCCAGGTTAGGTACACAGGTAGAATTATAAAGCTTTGTGGTATCCATCTTTTTCCTCTTACTGTATATGTAATTCTGCTACTCGGCTAACTAAAATGAACTATTGACTCAGAATGTTCATACCTCCCACCTGACAGAAAGGACACAACTCTACGTAAGGGTTGTGCTGTGTACCACATTCTTAATTGGGGAAGCTGGATTACTCTTAACGCTAGCTTAATCTGAGATTATATGTTGGTTTCTAGACTAGGTCCACTTAAATAAATCTCAATCTCTATCTTAAATTCACTCCAAATCCAGGATTCAGATCCTTCCTATCCCGCAAACTAAATTCTTGACAGAGTATCTTGTATATTTCCAGTCCTGTCTAGGATTAGAAGCTCTCCTGCTTTGATCTTGCCAGAGCCCTCTGGACTAAGCCCCTGGCCCCTAAGGTTTCTTTCTTGCCAGGTTTGTCTGATTTTGCCATCTTGCCATGTGACTACTGCCACTACCATTATCCTCAGGCATCATGCCTTGCTTACCATATGGCAAACTTGCCCAAATGTACCTCCAAGTATTGTTTTTGACGGGACCTTTTGAGACCTTTTGACCTTTTGAGATCACCTTGCTTGACCTAGGGGATCTACATTATCCCTAGGTTCCAGTTCTCCATGATCAGTGCTACTCAACAGAACTTTGTGGAATGATGGAAATGTTCTATATCTGTGCCACTCAATTTGGTAGCCACTATCAACTGGTGCCTCTCAGGTACGTAAAATATGGCTAATGTGACTAAAGGAATTAAATTTTTAATTTAAAAATTTTTGATTAATGGGATATTATTTTGGATAGCACAGATCTAGATCCTAACTTCTTGATAGCTTAGAAATGTAAATCACAATACAAATTTAAATAGGAATAGTTATGAAGTCTAGATGAAGAGTGTGTACATAGACCTGCAAAGAGAAGAAAACCATGCATATTATTATTTTACTTCTGCCTTCATTTTATTTTCATTGTATGACACTAACCAGCTTACACAAGTGCCCAAACTATTAACAACAGGATTGATAACACATTCAAGATGATATGTCAAGAAAAATGATATTTAGATGCTAGTTTTTATATAAGATTTTTTTACATTATTGAATATAAATCAGATAAATTTCTATGAAGAGCAAAGTAGTAATACATTTTGGTTTTTTTTAATCAATTGATTAACAGAAGATGTAAGATATGTAGCTGGACAAGCATAATTTATATAAATAATACAGAAATTTTTCATTGTTCCTCAAGCTACACATAGGCCCTTGTGGCACAGCCACTAGACAGTGTTTCTCAATACAATAGGATGATATTAGGAGCCAAGGGACAAAACTAGTAACTAGGGCTCCCAGATGAGTACCGAAAAAAGGCTGATTAACTGCATTCTAAGTACACAAAGCTATGCTGTTGAAACTATCTCCCCAAAGAGCTTGCTGAGAGATATATACTGTGGATCAAGTACTAACTCAACTTTCACCCCACTATACAATCACCACCACCACAACTGGGGGAAATGAAGGTGCCTTTGAGAGAAAGCCATTTTGAGGGGAGAAAGAAAATATTTCCTTCTTCTCACCTACTTGTAGGACCCTCTCCCAAGTCAAATGAAAAAGATTCCAGAAAATTGGTTGTAAATAATCAGGGCTTCTTCAAGAAGGAAAAAAAAAAGTTTTTTTTTTGTTTCTAGTTGGCCATGTATTAGCCACTATGCTTACTGATCTGCCTCTGTGCTACTGGAATGGAGAAAAAAAAATAGTAGGGAATGATTCCTAATGGCATGGTAGAGAACTGTCAGGTGGCACAGGGAGGACTGCCCTCATGTCACCAGTTTCCATGAAATCAAGGAGGATACACTGCAGAGGTGGCAGGGTGTCAACCTTATTTATAATCAGAGAAGTGCATATTGAAACAGTTGAAATATTGTTGTGCTCACCAAATTTTCAAAAAGCACACTGATTAATAGCATTGAGTAAACTAGAACTAAAACCCAGCTGACTCAATACATCTTTATCACCATAACAAATAATTCTGCTGTTCATCAACATTGCGACATAGCTGTGAACAATGCTGATAATATGCACACTTCTATCATATCAGCTAGGACACATCACTACTCTTATTTGTTTCTTTGTCCAGCCTCTTCCAACTAGGCTGTAAGCCAGTTGAGTGAAGGAAGTACACTGAATATATCATAGAACCCAAGAGACTTTCTTCATTTTGGATCATAATTGAGGTCTAACAATAACAATAATAATGTTCAATTAATGGAGCTTAGTTTTCCCTAACAGAAGTGTAATAATCTGATAAGGGGAGATTCCTGTTCTGATCTCTTTTGCATGGGTCAAGCCACATCTGAAATTGTATACTCAAATCTGTGCATTACACTTTTTGTGGAATTTTTATCAGGAGAAATATTAAAAAGTCTCCTAGGATTAGCATGGACTACTTATGAGAAAACAGTTGGCAATGCTTATTTTCAAGAGGAGCAAAAATGCAGACAGCCATGATAGCTGTCTATAATTGTTAGCAAGAATGCCAGTGGGAAGACAGATGAGATTTGTCCCTGTAACTTTGGAAGGTAGAATTAAGAGAAAAGAATGTAAATCTCAACAGAGAATTTTCATTCAATTTAATAACATATTGTCTTAATATGTTCAGGCTGTGACAACAAATACCTTGGATTGGCTAATTTAAAAACAACAAAATTTACTTCCCAGAATTTATTGTTCTGGAAGCTGGGAAGTCCAAGATCAAGGTTCCAGCAGATTCAGTCTCTGGTGAAGGTCTGTTCCTCAGAAATAAAACCTTCTTGCTGCATCCACACAAGACAGAAGGGACAAAAAGCCTCCCTCCAGCTTCTTTTCTAAGGGCACTAATCCCATTCATGAAGCCGGGGCCCTCATGACCTAATTACTTTCTAAAAGCACTCCATTAATACCATAATGTTGGAGGTTAAGTTTGCATATATGAATTTCTTTTGGGGGGGCACATATTTTCAGACCATAGCACAAATTTAATAATTAGTAATGTCTGAAAGTGAAAATATTCTGTAACAGGCAATAGTGTGCTATCACTCAACATGTGGACAGGCAACACCTTTTCAGGAAACCACTTTTCAGGAATAATCACTAGAAGAATAGATGCCTACAAAAATCTCTTCCAAAGCTGAGATGCTGTAATCTTAAATTTGGGAGAATATTTCAAATCAAATAAGTTAAGAGTGTTGGGAACCACATTATTAGAAGAGGGAGAAAAGGCATAATGAGAATCCTTAATTCATTTGTTTATTCGTAATAACAACAAATATGTATTGAGTATATACTATGTCCCGGGCACTGTTCTAGGTTTTAGGGATGCATCCATGTACAAAATTGGCAAAGATCCCTGTTGTGAAATGCAGACAATAAATAACATGATAAATAAGTAAATTGCTTGTATGTTTTTCAGCTAGGACTTCAGTTGGAAACATGACATACTTAATAAAAAGTTTAATGAAAAGACCTCTTTTAAAAGGTAAGGGCAAGATTTAGGAAAACCAACCAAGCCTCATGCAGAATTCCCAGACTAGAAATTTCAAGGTCTTGCTATACCAGTAGGCTGGATGGAACAAGTGAAGAGCATAGCTATCAGAATCCAGAAAAGTCTGTCTGATAGGAGCTGTGGGTTTTAGTAGAGCAATGCAGCTAACTGGTAGAGACAGACACAGCAGTGAGGTTGCTGGAGAAATAAATATTCCAACTTCATTATTCTTCTGCCTTCAGATCTAGTGTTGCTGCCTCCCATTGGCTATACTTAACTGGAACCCAAAGGACTAAGGAGCCTGTTGATGCTGTTTATACATTTCATCAATGCAGGGCACAGAGTAGGGTGAATGGCACTGAAGGGGCAAATGAAAAATATCTGTTATTGCATGTTAGAAAGCAGTAAATATGGAAGATTGCTAGGGGGAGGCTCCAAGATGGCCGAATAGGAACAGCTCCAGTCTGCAGCTCCCAGCGTGAGTGACGCAGAAGATGGGTGTTTTCTGCATTTCAAACTGAGGTGCTGGGTTCAACTCACTGGGGCTTGTCAGACAGTGGATGCAGCCCATGGAGCTGGGCGGGGCATCGCCTCACCCAGGAAGCACAAGGGGTCAGGAAATTCCCTTTCCTAGCAAAGGGAAGCCATGACCAACAGTACCTGGAAAATCAGGACACGCCCACCCTAATACTGTGCTTTTCCAATGGCCTTAGCAAATGGCACACCAGGAGATTATATCCCGCGCATAGCTCAGAGGGTCCCACACCCACGGAGCCTTGCTCACTGCTAGCACAGTAGTCTGAGATCAAACTGCAAGGCAGCAGCGAGGCTGGGGGAGGGGCGTCCGCCATTGCTGAGGCTTGAATAGGTAAAAGGAAGCAGCCAGGAAGCTCAAACTGGGTGGAGCCAACCACAGCTCAAGGGGCCTGCATGCCTCCGTAGACTCCACCTCTGGGGGCAGGGCATAGCTGAACAAAAGGCAGCAGAAACTTCTGCAGATTAAACATCCCTGTCTGACAGCTTTGAAGAGAGTAGTGGTTCTCCCAGCATGGAGTTTCAGATCTGAGAACAGACAGACTGCCTCCTCAAGTGGGTCCCTGACCCCCGAGTAGCCTAACTGGGAAACACCTCCCAGTAGGGGCCAACTGACACCTCATACAGCCAGGTGCCCCTCTGAGACAAAGCTTCCAAAGGAAGGATCAGGCAGCAACATTTGCTGTTCTGCAATATTTGCTGTTCTGCAGCCTCTGCTGGTGATACCCAGGCAAACAGGGTCGGAGTTCACCTCCAGCAATCTCCAACAGACCTGCAGCTGTGGGTCCTGACTGTTAGAAGGAAAACTAACAAACAGAAAGGACATCCACACCAAAACCCATCTGTACGTCACCATCATCAAAGACCAAAGGTAGACAAAACCACAAAGATGGGGAGAAATGAGAGCAGTAAAACTGGAAACTCTAAAAATCAGATTGGCTCTTCTCCAAAGGAACACAGCTCCTCGCCAGCAATGGAACAAAGGTGGACAGAGAATGACTTCAACGAGTTGAGAGAAGGCTTCAGACGATCGGTAATAACAAACTTCTCTGAGCTAAAGGAGGATTTTGAACCCACCGTAAAGAAGCTAAAAACCTTGAAAAAAGATTAGACAAATGGCTAACTAGAATAAACAGTGTGGAGAAGTCCTTAAATAACCTGATGGAGCTGAAAACCATGGCACAAGAACTACGTGACGAATCCACAAGCTTCAGCAGCTGATTCAATCAAGTGGAAGAAAGGGTATCAGTGATTGAAGATCAAATGAATGAAATGAAGCAAGAAGAGAAGTTTAGAGAAAAAAGAATAAAAAGAAATGAACAAAGCCTCAAGAAATATGGGACTATGTGAAAAGACCAAATCTACATCTGATTGGTATACCTGAAAGTGACGGGGAGAATGGAAGCAAGTTGGAAAACATTCTGCAGAATATTATCCAGGAGAACTTCCCCAACCTAGTGAGGCAGGCCAACATTCAATTTCAGGAAACACAGAGAATGCCACAAAGATATTCCTCGAGAAGAGCAACTCCAAGACACATAATTGTCAGATTCACCAAAGTTGAAATGAAGGAAAAAATGTTAAGGGCAGCCAGAGAGAAAGGTCGGGTTACCCACAAAGGGAAGCCCATCAGACTAACAGCGGATCTCTCGGCAGAAACTCTACAAGCGAGAAGAGAGTGGAGACCAATATTCAACATTGTTAAAGAAAAGAATTTTCAACCCAGAATTTCATATCCAGCCAAACTAAGCTTCATAAGTGAAGGAGAAATAAAATCCTTTACAGACAAACAAAGGCTGAGAGATTTTGTCACCACCAGGCCTGCCTTACAAGAGCTCCTGAAGGAAGCACTAAACATGGAAAGGAACAACCAGTACCAGCCACTGCAAAAACATGCCACATTGTAAAGACCATCAATGCTAGGAAGAAACTGCATCAACTAACGAGCAAAATAACCAGCTAACATCATAATGACAGGATCAAATTCACACATAGCAATATTAACCTTAAATGTAAATGGGCTAAATGCTCCAATTTAAAGACACAGACTGGCAAATTGGTTGAAGAGTCAAGACCCATCAGTGTGCTGTATTCAGGAAACCCATCTCACATGCAGAGACACACATAGGCTCAAAATAAAGGGTTGGAGGAAGATCTACCAAGCAAATGGAAAAAAAAAAAAGCAGGGGTTGCAATACAAGTTTCTGATAAAAAAGACTTTAAACCAACAAAGATCAAAGGAGACAAAGAAGGCCATGACATAATGGTAAATGGATCAATTCAACAAGAAGAGCTAACTATCCTAAATATATATGCACCTAATACAGGAGCACCCAGATTCATAAAGCAAGTCCATAGCGACCTAGAAAGAGACTTAGACTCCCACACAATAATAATGGGAGACTTTGACACCCCACTGTCGACATTAGACAGATCAACGAGACAGAAAGTTAACAAGGATATCCAGGAATTGAACTCAGCTCTGCACCAAGCAGACCTAATAGACATCCACAAAACTCTCCACCACAAACCAACAGAATATACATTCTTCTCAGCAATACATCACACTTATTCCAAAATTGACCACATAGTCGGAAGTAAAGCACTCCTCAGCAAATGTAATAGAAATTATAACAAACTGTCTCTCAGACCACAGTGCAATCAAACTAGAACTCAGGATTAAGAAACTCACTCAAAACCACTCAATTACATGGAAACTGAACAACTTACTCCTGAATGACTACTGGTTACATAACGAAATGAAGGTAGAAATAAAGATGTTCTTTGAAATTAATGAGAACAAAGACACAACATACCAGAATCTCTGGGACACATTTAAAGCAGTGTGTAGAGGGAAATTTATAGCACTAAATGCCCACAAGAGAAAGCAGGAAAGATCTAAAATTGACACCCTAACATCACAATTAAAAGAACTGGAGAAGCAAGAGCAAACACATTCAAAAGCTAGCAGAAGGTAAGAAATAACTAAGATCAGAGCAGAACTGAAGGAGATAGAGACCCAAAAAACCCTTCAAAAAATCAATGAATCCAGGAGCTGGTTTTTTGAAAAGATCAACAAAATTGATAGACCTCTAGCAAGACCAACAAAGAAGAAAAGAGAGAAGAATCAAATAGACACTATAAAAAATGATAAAGAGATATCACCACCAATCCCACAGAAATACCAATTACCATCAGAGAATACTATAAACATCTCTACACAAATAAACTAGAAAATCTAGAAGAAATGGATACATTCCAGGACACAAACACCCACCCAGGACTAAAACAGGAAGAAGCTGAATCCCTGAATAGACCAATAACAGGTTCTGAAGTTGAGGCAATAATTAATAGCCTAGCAACTAAAAAAAGTCCAGGCCCAGATGGATTCACAGCCGAATTCTACCAGAGGTACAAAGAGGAGCTGGTACCATTCCTTCTGAAAGTATTCCAATCAATAGAAAAAGAGAGAATAATCCTCCCTAATTCATTTTATGAGGCCAACATCATCCTGATACCAAAGCCTGGCAGAGACACAACAAAAAAAGAGAATTTTAGACCAATAACCCTGATGAACATCAATGCAAAAATCCTCAATAAAATACTGGCAAACCAAATCCAGCAGCACATCAAAAAGCTTATCCACCACGATCAAGTTGGCTTCATCCCTGGGTTGCAAGTCTGGTGCAAAATACACAAATTAATAAACGTAATCCATCATATAAACAGAACCAAAGACAAAAACCACATGATGATCTCAATAGATGCAGAAAAGGCCTTCGACAAAATTCAACACCCTTCATGCTAAAGACTCTCAATAAACTAGGTATTCATGGGACATATCTCAAAATAATAAGAGCTATTTATGACAAACCCACAGCCAATATCATACTGAATGGACAAAAACTGGAAGCATTCCCTTTGAAAACTAGCACAAGACAGGGATGCCCTCTCTCACCACTCCTATTTAACATAGTGTTGGAAGTTCTGGCCAGGGCAATCAGGCAAGAGAAAGAAATAAAGGGTATTCAATTAGGAAAAGAGAAAGTCAAATTGTCCCTGTTTGCAGCTGACATGGTTGTATATTTAGAAAACCCCATCATCTCAGCCCAAAATCTCCTTAAGCTGATAAACAACTTCAGCAAAGTCTCAGGATACAAAATCAATGTACAAAAATCACAAGCATTCCTATACACCAATAACAGACAGACAGAGAGCCAAATCATGAGTGAACTCCCATTCACAATTGCTACAAAGGGAATAAAATATCTAGGAATCCAACTTACAAGGGATGTGAAGGACTTCTTCAAGGAGAACTACAAACCACTGCCCAACGAAATAAAAGAGGACACAAACAAATGGAAGAATATTCCATGCCCATGGATAGGAAGAATCAATATTGTGAAAATGGCCATACTGCCCAAGGTAATTTATAGATTCAATACCATCTCCATCAAGCTACCAATGACTTTCTTCACAGAATTGGAAAAAACTACTTTAAAGTTCATATGGAACCAAAAAAGAGCCCGCATTGCCAAGACAATCTTAAGCCAAAAGAAAAAAGCTGAAGGCATCACACTACCTGACTTCAAACTATACTACAAGGCTACAGTAACCAAAACAGCATGGTACTGGTACCAAAACAGAGATATAGATCAATGGAACAGAATAGAGCCCTCAGAAATAATACCACACATCTACAATGATCTGATCTTTGACAAACCTGACAAAAAAAAAGAAATGGAGAAAGGATTCCCTGTTTAAAAAATGGTGCTGGGAAAACTGGCTAGCCATATGTAGACAGCTGAAACTGGATCCCTTCCTTACACCTTATACAAAAATTAATTCAAGATGGATTAAAGACTTAAATGTTAGACCTAAAACCATAAAAACACTAGAAGAAAACCTACGCAATACCATTCAGCACATAGGCATGGGCAAGGACTTCATGACTAAAACACCAACAGCAATGGCAACAAAAGCCAAAATTGACAAATGGGAGCTAATTAAACTCAAGAGCTTCTGCACAGCAAAAGAAACTACCATCAGAGTGAACAGGCGACCTACAGAATGGGAGAAAAGTTTTGCAATCTACCCATCTGACAAAGGGCTAATATCCAGAATCTACAAAGAACTTAAACAAATTTACAAGAAAAAAATCAAACAACCTCATCAAAAAGTGGGAGAAGGATATGAACAGACACTTCTCCAAAGAAGACATTTATGCAGCCAACAGACACATGAAAAAATGTTCATCATCACTGGCCATCAGAGAAATGCATATCAAAACCACAATGAGATACCATCTCACACCAGTTAGAATGGCAATCATTAAAAAGTCAGGAAACAACAGGTGCCGGAGAGGATGTGGAGACATAGGAACAGTTTTACAGTGTTGGTGGGACTGTAAACTAATTCAACCATTGTGGAAGACAGTGTGGTGATTCCTCAAAGATCTAGAACTAGAAATACCATTTGACCCAGCCATCCCATTACTGGGTATACACCCAAAGGATTATAAATCATGCTGCTATAAAGACACATGCACATGTACGTTTATTATGGCACTTTTCACAATAGCAAAGACTTGGAACCAACCCAAATGTCCAACAATGATAGACTGGATTAAGAAAATGTGGCATATATACACCATGGAATACTATGCAGCCATAAAAAATGATGAGTTCATGTCCTTTGTAGGGACATGGATGAAGCTGGAAACCATTATTCTCAGCAAACTATCGCAAGGACAGAAAACCAAACACCGCATGTTCTCACTCAGAGTTGGGAATTGAACAATGAGAACAATTGGACACAGGGTGGGGAACATCACAAACTAGGGTCTGTCGTGGTGTCGGGGAAGTGGGGAGGGATAGTATTAGGAGATATACTTAATGTAAATGACAAGTTAACGGGTGCAGCACACCAACATGGCACATGTATACATATGTAACAAACCTGCACATTGTGCACATGTACCCTAGAACTTAAAGTATAATAATAAAAATAAATAAATAAGATTGCTAGTCAAAAAAAAAAGAAAGCAGTAACTATGAAAAGTAATAATAATAATGATAATAGTGGAAGGAAAAGGAATAGGGCATACAGAGATCAGGAGAGAGGACTATAAAATAAAGTAGTCAAAGTAGACATAACTGGTTGAGCACAGTGGCTCAGGCCAGTAATCCCAGAACTTTGGGAGGCCAAGGCAGGAGGACTGCATGAGCCCAGGAGTTCAAGACTTCAGTGGACTCCAGCCTGGCAATAGAGCAAGACCATATCTTTAAAAAAATAAAAATTAGGCCAGGCACAGTGGCTCACACCTGTAATCCCAGCACTTTGTAGGCTGAGGCAGGTAGATCACTTGAGGTCAGGAGTTCGAGACAAGTCTGGCCAACATGGTGAAACCCCGTCACTACTAAAAATACAAAAAAAAAAAAAAAAGGCCAGGTGTGGTAGCATGTGCCTGTAATCCCAGCTACTCGGGAGGCTTAGGCAGGAGAATCGCTTGAACTCGGGAGGCAGAGGTTGCAGTGAGCCGAGATCGTGTCCTTGTACTCCAGCCTGGGCAACAAGAGTGAAACTGTCTCAAAAATAAATAAATAAATATATATAATTAAAAAATAAAAACAGAGTAGACGTAACTGAGAAGTATCATTTGAGCTAAGACTTAAAGGAGATGAAGTAGTTAGCTGGATGAAAATCTGAGTAGAGAGCATCCTAGGAAGAAGAAACAGTTGGTGAATGGCCACGGTGTTCAAAAAAACAGGGAAGTTAGTGTGCTAGAAGTAGAGTGAGGAGGAAAGTAATAAGAGTTGGAGTCAGAGTGGTTTGGGGGCCAGATAATGCAAGGGTTTAACAGCCATTGAAAAGGTTTGATCCTTACTCAGCTGAATGAGAAACTGAGGAAGGGTTTTTAGGAAAGACATAACCTAACATATTTTGAAAAGACCATTCTGGCTACTGTGTCGAAAATATTCTGTGCTGTTAGAGGGTCACAAAGGCAGCATGTGAGGATGCTATTGCAGTAATCCAGGTAAAAAGATGGATGAGACTATCTCATGGCAGGAGAGGTTAGTAATCATATCTGAATATCATTGAAGGTAGAGCCCATAGGTTTTCCTGACAGATTAGATGTGAGGATGAGAGAAGGAGAGGAGTCAAAGATGTCCCCAGATTCCAGATTTTGAAGCAATTGGAAGGATGGAGTTGTCATTAACTAAGATGGGTAAGAATATAGGTGGGGCCAATTTGGACTATAATCAGGAGTTCAGTTTGAATCCAGAGAATCTATTAGACCTCCACATGGAGATATTGAATAGGCAGATACATATGTGATCCTGGTGTTGAGAGACTCTGGGCTAGAACTAGATATTTGGGCATAGTCAGCATATACAGCATATAAATGATATTTAGAGCCATAAAATGGAAGAGATCACCATGGGGGCAGTAGAAATAGAGAAAGAGAAGAGAGCTAAAGACTGAGGCTTGGGGTCTTGTAGCACTGAGGGGGGAAGAAGAAGCAGAATCAGCAAAGGAGAATGAGAATGAAAAACCAGAGAAAAGAGGATGAAAGCCAAAAAAGTGGGTTGTCTTTGAATAACAACAAAATTAAAAAAATATATATCAAAGGGAAGGGAACGATCAACTTTGGGATATCATGCTGATAGGCCAAGTAAAATAATAACAGAATTGGCCATTAGAGTCAGCCAAATGAAGGTTATTGGTGACCTTGACATGAGCAGTTTTGATGGAGTCATGAGGGACAGGGTAGGAAGGTGTATTTCAGAGAGAATAAGATGTGAGGAATTGAAGACAATGAGCGTGGATGACTCTTTCAAGAAAGTTTTGCTGCAAAAGAAGTGGCAGATGACAGAGGTGAAGGTTTTTTAAGATGGGAAGAATAATAGCATGTTTGTATAATGATAGGAAACATCCAGTAAAAAGAAAAAATAATGATTTGGAGAGAGAGATGAAAATTACTGTAGTAATGGCCTTAAGAAGGAAAGATAGGGCTGAATCTAGGGCACAAGTGAAGGAACCAACTTCAGATCGAAGCATGAATAAACTGGCACATCTATGGCAGCAAGAGAAAGGCAGGGCACTGGATAGAAATAACAAAGGCGTAAATAGTTTTTGTATGGGAAGATGCATCAGCCTACTTGTCTTCTGGCAGAAAACGAAATTCAAAATGAATCTTAGTTTCCTTACTTAAGTTTCCCAGAGTGGCAGGAGGAGTATAGATTCTCCATGATGAGTAAGGATTTGTATTACAATATGAAATTATCATATAGGTAAGATGACTTAATTTTGAAGGCAGAAAGCGATCAAACCATTACTAAAGCTTAAGTGACAAGTTGTAAGACTGGGATATATGGATTTCAGTGTGGTCACTATGTGAGTCTACTTCAAAGAAGAAGAGACTGGGACTATAGGCTTGTAAAAGTAATAGAAGTTTGTATTAATACATTCTTTGTAAACTGGAAAAAAAAACCATTATCTTGAAAGGTCTAATAAAAGACATCAACCGAAAGGTAGAGGAGGCTGGATCCCATATATCTATCAGACTAGATTTAGTCTAAGCTCTAGGGGAAAAAATGCTTAATTTTTTTCCTTTAAACTAGTTTTAAGAAACTTTAGGAGTCAGGTATAGGAAAATGCACACTTGGAGGGTAAACTTGCCCATTCATCAGAAAAAAAACCTTCTCCATCTCAGATCAGTGGCACTGAGTCCTGTTGTACTTTAATAATATACCTATTGGTACAATAACAACAACCTTTCATTTGAATAGAATTTTACAATTTATATTAAACGGAAATCACATTGAAAAGAGCCTCACAAATACAGGAAAGACTGAAATCTGGCCCCTGGGAAGGCATCTGGCTACATAGAAGCTTATACGCCATCAGCACTGTCCTGTATTCTCTTCATTTTTATTTAATCACACCCCAAAGATAAGAAATTAAGGGTAAAATAAGTAGCAACAGATCTTAAACCTATCAAAAGACATCAGTTTTTGTGAAATATGGCTGAATACATAAAGTTAAAACTAAAGGTCCAAATGCCCTTCCTGCCACCTTTGATAAATCAATTGATGATGTTCATTTGGAGCTTATCTTAGACTACTTTCTATTGAAGCTATTTTTTTCTGTGTCTCAGCTAAACCCAAATGAGGACTGACGCTCAGGCCTTTTCTGATGAACTGGGAGGCTATGATCTCTCAGGGCCTTGTAAACAACAGCTGATATGCACAAGGGTAAGGGAGCCTGTAAAGCAGAAATTCCCCTCTGGTAAGAGGGAGAGGACATGTGAAAAACCAGGAGGTGAATATTTAGAGTATTTACTCTGTATCATGCACTGTGCTGGGAACTTGGTATATATAAGGAAGTAAAAATCCACATGGTCCTTGCCCTCACAGAGCTTACTGTCCGGTGGGGGCTGGAAGAAGACAGACATTAAATCAAATTGTCCCATAGGTAAATGCAAACAGAAATGGAGCAGGTATGTGTAATGGCAAGGATGAAATTATGCTTTCAGAATGGGTAGCTAAAGCGGAACAAAGGATAGGTCACTGTAAATGAAGTGGTCAAGGAATATCCTGGCCCGTGTGTTGGAGAAATCCATGTAGGTGTTAGAATTGCCCAGGAGGGAATAACTGGATATCAGAGATGACAAAAAATGAGAGGGTATACTGGGGGGAAAAATGCATGTGGGAGGAGTGAATGGTATGGTCAAATGGAACAGAGCTCTCAAAGAAAGGTCTTGTACAGGAAGGACTTGCTTAGTGGAGATCTCTGGCATGGATTCAAATTCTGACTCTCAACCTTCAAATGTATGACACTGGGCAAATTTCTTAAGCTCTATGTTTCTGTTTATTAATCTATAAAATGAAGATAATAATAGTACTTATCTCATGGGGTTGTTTTGTGGAATTAGACAAGTAAACACCTAAAATTACTTAGAATACTGCCAGGGATGTAGTTAGTGTACAGTTAGTATTAGCTGTTATTATTATTAAGATAGAGTGAAAAGCACATGAAAAGCCCCTGAGGCTTAGTCAAAGAACACAAACCAGGCCGGTGTGACTTGAAATAAGTGAGCAAGAGTTTAACAGTCTTTGCGAGGAGATGGGCATCAAGTCTAGTGACCACAGGACTTGTCTTTCTTGCCTGTGTAATGGCAGGTGCAAGATTGCACACACTGGAGACTGTTGATTGTAGATATCATAGACTCCCATGTTCTGAAAGTCTGGGCCTATTCTCCAGCCTGGAACAAGGGTTGTTGGACTTCTAAATAGCAAAGGGCATGATGATGCATGGGTCACTAACTCGACAGTTTAGGTACCAGGTGAAAAGAATGTCATGATACATAATTAGTGAGAGGGATATGCTTTCCATTAAGGTATGAAAAACAATAACATTCTGGCTCAGTGAGGCCTGGAGGGAACACAGCATATTTGATACCTGTAGAGTTATGCAGATTTGGACTACCAGGAAACACACTGGAGCAATTTCATGGAGAAGACAAGACGCAGGAAATAGCACTGTAGCCTTAAGCTTTCCTCAGGCATTTGAAGACATGAGGCAAGCAGGAACGATCCTGTACATGAGAATCTACAAGAGTCTTTCTAGGGACTCCTAGGAAAATACTGATAGGTATGGAACTCCTTACAGCCAAATCAGTTAGTTATAATTAGGGGAAATTTGGATATTAACATTAATGTGATTTCATTCATATGTATAGGTTAATGATGACTGAGGACATTTGGATTATATATGCTTATTATTTTTCAAAATAAAATGCAACCACCTAGAGGGAAGGGACTGTGTCCTCCCCCCAAATTCTTAACAAATCATTTAATAAATATTAGTTGATGATGATTAGAGTCCTTTCAATAGAATAAAAACTTTTGACAGAATCAAAAGAGGCAATAATTCCATATTTTAGAAGTAAAGAATCACTCAGTTTTACTCTGCTTCAAAATTTGGACAAGTGTCGCAAGAAGAGAAAACTTTTTATAGGATAGCACAGTAATTCATATTTGAATAACTTAATGACAATGACTGGTTACATTGAACCTATTAGCTTAAGTATGATACAGAAAGGCAACATGATGAACCGTTTATTTTCAAAAGATTCCTCTCAAATGGCATGGTATACAGAGGGAAAAACACCATTCTAGGGGTAGAGATCATAGATCCTGATTCTGCCACATGGCCAAAGTTATAATATTTGGGCATACCCCTTAAATTTTAAAATAATACCAATGATAATAATTACAAATCTCAATTATTTGAGACTATTTACTATGTCAGTAACTGTTCTAGGGGCTTGGCATGTATGAACTCATATGATCTTCCTAGTAACTCTAAGAAATAGGCACTCTTATTATTTCCATTTAAAGAAGAGGACCCTGAAAAACAGAGTAAAATTCACAAGGTCACACCAATTTTAAGTGGCAAAGCCACATTAAGAATTCAAGGAGTTCCTCCTTCTTTTTCTTTCCTTCCCTTTCTGAACAAGTCAGATCTAAAGCCATTAGGTGAAACTGAGTATGGTAGACATCTGCACCAGGCAGGGAGAGCCACAGTATCTCTGGCCTGGGATGATGGAGTGCAGAGTCTGAGCAGGACAAGGAGGGGTCTCCAACCAGGGACAGCCTGGTGCAGTGAGTTAGGTCCCAAGTTGGGTGAGGAAGGCAGCCATGCATAGGGAGCCCAAGACAGGGGCCCAAGAGATTATACCAAAGCTCTTATATTAAATAATGTGTCATATGCCCAGACCTTTAGTAGAAACTGCCACCAGGAAACAAGATAATACCCAGAAAAATTAAGTGTGAATACACATGTAGACAATATATGAAGTACAAAGAGCAACTCATTTGCAATGAAAAGCCATTGTCCAATATTAAAGGATGATCTTATATGACTACTGACATGTAAAATGTTTTCTCTTCAAACATCATAAGCATTGTTAATTAATATGCCATGGGTAGATCCACATAACATCACTCTGATTTACCAATTGTGCATTTTTTTTAGTTTTTTTCTTTTTAATTTTTGTGAGTACACAGTAGGTGTATATATTTATGGGGTACATGAGATATTTTGGTGCAGGGATGCAATGCATAATAAACAATCCAATTACACTTTTTAAAGTTATTTTTAAATACACACTTAAATTATTATTGACTATAGCCCCCTGTTGTGCTATCAAATACTAGGTCTTATTTATTTTTTCTTTGTTTTTGTACCCATTAATCATCCCCATCTCCTCCACACCTTCCCATTACCCTACCTAGCCTCTAGTAACCAGCCTTCTATTCTCTATCTCCATGAGTTCAACTGTTTTGATTTTTAGATCCCATAAATAAGTGAGAACACGCAATATTGGTATTTCTGTGCCTGGTTTATTTCACTTATCATAATGACTTCCAGTTCCGTGTTATTGCAAATGACAGGATCTCATTCTTTCTTATAGTTGAATACTACTCCATTGTGTATAAGTACCACATTTTCTTTAGGCATTCATCCATTGATGGACACTTAGATTGCTTCCAAATTTTGGCAATTGTTAATACTACTTCAATAAACATGGGAGTGCAGTTACCTCTTTGATATATTTATTTCCTTTATTTTGGGTATGTACCCAGCAGTGGGAATGCTGGATCCTATAGTAACTCTATTTTTAGATTTTTGAGGAACTTCCACACTGTTGTCCTTAGTGGTTTTCCTAATTTACCTTCCCACAAATAGTGTACAAGGGTTCCTTAGCTCATCCTTGCTAGTGTTTGTTATTGCCTGTCTTTGGATATAAGCCATTTTAATTGGGGTGAGACGATATCTCATTGCAGTTCTGACTTGCATTTCTCTGATGATCAGTGGTATTGAGCACCTTTTCCTATGCCTGTTTGCCATTTGTATGTCTTCTTTGGAGAAATGGCTATTCAATTTTTTTGCCCATTTTTTATTAGATTATTAGATTTTTTCCTAGACAGTTGTTTGAACACCTTCTATATTTTGGTTATTAATCCCTTGTCAGGTGGATAGTTCGCAAATATTTTCTCCCATTCTGTGGGTTGTTTGCACTTTGTTGATTGTTTCCATTGCTGTGCAGAAGCTTTTTAACTTAATGTGATCCCATTTATCAATTTTTGCTTTGGTTGCCTATGCTTGTGGAGTATTACTCAATAACTTTTTGCCCAGACCAATGTCTTAGAGATTTTCCCCCAATGTTTTCTTGTAGTAGTTTCATAGTTTGAGGGCTTATATTTAAGTCTTTAATCTATCTAGATTTTATTTTTGTATAGAGCAAGTAATAGGGGTCTAGTTTTATTCTTCTGCATATGGATAACCAGTTTTCTCAGCACCATTTATTAAACAGACTGTCTTTTTCCCAGTGTATGTTCTTGGCTTGTCAAAAATGAGTTCACTGTAGGTGTGTGGATTTCTTTCTGAGTTTTCAATTCTGTTCCATTGGTCTATGTGTCTGTTTTCATGACAGTACCATGTTCTTTTGGTTACCATAGCTCTTTGGTATATTTTGAAGTCATGTAATGTGATTCTTCCAGTTTTGTTTTTTTTTTTTTTTTTTTTTGCTTTTTGCTTAGGACAGCTTTGGCTATTCTGGGTCTTCTGTGATTCCATAAAAATTTTAGGATCCAAAAAAAATTTATGTGAAGAATGTCATTGGTATTTTGACAGGAATTGCATTGAATCTGTAGATTGCTTTGGGTAGTATGGACATTTTAAAAATAGTGATTCTTTCAATGCATTAACATGGAGTATCTTTCCTTTTTTTGGGGGGGTTGGTTTTCTTCAATTTTTCTCATCAGTGTTTTATAGTTTTCATTATAGAGATCTCTTTACTTCTCTGGTTAAATTAATTCCTAGGTATTTAATTTTATGTGTGGCTATTATAAATGGAATTGCTTTTTATGTCTTTTTTGGATTGTTCACTGTTGACATATAGAAATGCTACTACATTTTATATGTTGACTTTGTATCCTGCAACTTAACTGAAATTTGTTTTTCAGTTGTAATAGTTTTTTGGTGAAGTCTGTAGGCTTTTCCAAATATAAGATCACATCATCTGCAAATAAAGATAATTTGATTTCTTCCTTTCCAATTTGGATGTTCTTTATTTCTTCCTCTTGTCTGATTGCTCTAGCTAGAATTTCTAATGCCATGTTGAATAACAGTGGTGAAAGTAGGCATCCTTGTCATGTTCCAGGTCTTAGAGAAAAGGGTTTCAGGTTTTCCCCTTTCAATATGATACTAGCTGTGAGTCTGTCATAAATGGCTTTTATTATGTTGAGGTATGCTCCTTCTGTACCCAATTATTGGAGGTTTTTTATCATGAAGGGATGTTGAATTTTATGAAATTCTTTTTTAGAATCAATTGAAATGGTCATATGGTTTTGTCCTTCATTTTGTTGATATGATGTATCACACTGGTTGATTTGCATATGTTGAACCATCCTTGAATCCCTGGGATAAGTTCCACTTGGTCATGATGAATAATCATTACAACTTATTTTTTAATTCAATTTTCCAGTATTTTTTGAGGATTTTTGCATCAATATTCATCAGAGATATTGGCCTGAAGTTTTCTTTTTTTTTTTAATGTGTCTTTGGTTTTGGTATCAGGGTAATACTGTCTTCATATAATAAATTTGGAAACATGTTCTTCTTATTTTTCATAACAGTTTGAGTAGAATTGGTATTTTTTTTAATGTTTGGTATAATTCAGCAGTGAAGCCATTGAGTCCCAGGCTTTTCATTACTGGTAGATGTTTTATTATGGCTTTATTCTAGCTACTTCCTATTGGTCTGTTCAGGTATTGAATTTCTTCATGGTTCAACCTTGGTAGGTTGTATGTTTCTAGGAATGTATCCATTTCTTCTAAATTTTCCAATTCATTGGCATATAGTTGTTCATAGTAGTCACTAACAATCCTTTGAATTTCTGTGGTATTAGTTGTAATGTTTCCTTTTTCATCACTGATTTTATTAATATTTATTTGCATCTTCTCTCTTTTTTGTAGTTAGTTTGGCTAAGGGTTTGTTGATTTTCTTTATCTTTGCAAAAAAACTTTTTGTTTCATTGATCTTTTGTATTGTTTTCTTCATTTCAAATTCATTTATTTCTGCTCTGACCATCATTATTTCTTTTCTTCTCCTAATTTTGAGTTTGGTTTGCTCTTGGTTTTCTAATTTTTAAAGGTATATTATTGGATATTTATTTGAAGTTTTTCTTCTTTTTGATGCAGGTTCTTATAGCTATAAATTTCCCTCCTTAGTATTGGTTTTGCTGTATCCTATAGGTTTTTTATGTTGAGTTTCCATTACTAACTGTTTCAAGAAATATTTCAATTTTCTTCTGAATTCCTTCATTGGCCCACTAGTCATTAAGAGGCATATTGTTTAATTTCCATGTGTTTGTATAGTTTCCAAAATTCCTCTAGTTATTGATATCTAGTTTTATTCTATTGTGGGAAGAGAAGATGCTTGATGTTATTTCAGTTTTTTGGAATGCTTTGAGAGTTGTTTTGTGACGTAACATATGGTCTCTCCTTGGGATGGGTCCATATGCTGAAGAAAATAATGTGTGTTCTGTAGCCATTGGATGAAATGTTCTGTAAATATCTACTAGTTCATTTTTTTCTATAGTGCAAATCAAGTTTGAGCTTTCTTTGTTTATTTTCTGTTTGTGAGATCTATCCAGTGCTGAATCTGGGGTGTTGAGGTCTCCAGCTGTTATTGTATTGGAGCCTATCTCTCTCTTTAGCTCCAATAATATTTGCTTTATCTATCTGGGTGCTCCAGTTTGGATGCATATATATTTACAATCATGATATCCTCTTGCTAAATTAATTCCTTTGTCATAATGTAGTGACCTTCTTTGTCGCTTCTTACAGTTTTTGTCTTGAAATTTGTTTTGTCTTGATATCTATTTCATCTGATATAGGTATAGCTACTCCTGCTCTTTTTTTGTTTGTTTGTTTCCATTGGCATGGAATATCTCTTTCCATCCCTGAAATACATATTTTCAGCCTGTGTGTATCTTGACAGGTGAAGTATGTTTCTTATAGACAATGGATCATTGAGTCTTGTTTTTTCATCCATTCAGCCGCTTTATGTCTTTTGATTGTAGAGTTAACTCAGTTTGCATTCAATGTTATTATTGATAAGTAGGGACTTATTCCTGCCATTTTGTTATTTGTTTTTTAGGTTGTTTTTCAGTCTTTTCTGTTTCCTTCACCACCTGTCCTCCTTTCAATGAAGGTGATTTTCACCGGTGGTATTATTTCTTGCTTTTTATTTTTTGTGTATCTATTGTATATTTTTCAATTTTAGGTTACCAGAGGCCATGCAAATACTCTCTTATAACCCATTATTTTAAACTGATGACACCTTAACATTGATTGCATATAGAAACAAACAAACATGCAAAAAAAATTAAAAACTCTACACTTTAATTTTGTCCCTTTTTTTAACTTTTGGCTGTTTTTCTTTATGTCTTACCGTACTAAGTCTTAAAAAGTGGTTGTAGTTACTATTTTTGTTTGGTTCATCATTTGGTATTTCTACTTAAGACAAGAATAGCTTACACACAGCAGTTGGTGTGTTATACTATTCTGTTATTCTGTGTGCTTGAGTTTTGTACCTTCAGACGATTTTTTCTTGCTCTTTAACATCCTTTTCTTTAGGATTAAAGAATTCCCCTTTGTGTTTCCTGTAGGGTACATTTGGTATTGATGAAATCCCTCAGCTTTTATCTATCTGGGACAGTTTTTATTTCTTCTTCATGCCTGAAGGATATTTTCACCAAATATACTAATCTAGGGTAAAAGTTTTTTGTTTCTGTTTTTCTTTCTAACTTTAGCACTTTAAATATGTCATGCCACTCTCTCCTGGCCTGTAAGTTTTCCAGTGAAAAGTCTGCTGCCAGACATATTGTAGCTCCATTGTATGTTATCTGTTTCTTTTCTCTTGATACTTTTGGGATCCTTTATCCTTGACCTTTGGGAGTTTGATTTTCAAACTCCTAGAGTTAGTCTTCTATGGGTTAAATCTGCTTGGTGTTCTATAATCTTCTTATATGTGAATGTTGATATCTTTCTCTAGGTTTGGGAAGTTCTCTGATATTATTCCTTAGAATAAACTTTCTATTCCTATCTCTTCCCCTACCTCTCTTTAAAGCCAATAATTCTTATATTTGTCCTTTTGAGGCTATTTTCTACATCTCGTAGGTATGCTTTATTGTTTTTTATTCTTTTATCTTTTGTCTCCTCTGACTGTGTATTTTCAAATAGTCTGTCTTCAAGCTCACTAATTCCTTCTTCTGCTTGATCAATTCTGCTACTAAGAGACTCTGATTCATTCTTCTGCATGTCAATTCCATTTACCAACTCTAGAATTTGTTTGATTCTTTTAGGTTATTTCAATCTCTGTTACATTTATCTGACAGAATTCTGAATTCATTCTCTATGTTATCTTGAATTGAGTTTCCTCAAAGCACCTATTTTGAATTCTCTGTCTGAAAGGTCATAGATCTCTGTTTATCCTGGATTGGTCTCTGGTGTCTTATTTAGTTTATTTGGCAAGGCCATATTTTCCTATATGGTGTTGATGCTTGAAGATATTCTTCAGTGTCTGGGCATTGAAGAGTTGGGTATCTATTGTAGTCTTCACAGTCTGGGCTGCCATTTTGGGAAAGGCTTTCCAGGTATTCAAAGAGACTTGGACAATTAGCCCAATAATGCTGTGATTTTTGCATACTCATAGAAGTATCACCTTGGTGGACTTGGATAAGATCCAGAAGAATTATCTGGGTTACCAGGCAGAGACTCTTGTTCACTTCCCTTACTTTCTCCCAAGCAAACAGAGTCTCTCTCTCTCTCTCTCTCTCTCTCTCTCTCTCTCTCTCTCTCTCTTTCTCTGTCTGTTCTGAGCCACCTGATGCTGGAGGTAGACTGACACAAGCATCCCTGTGATCACTACCACTATGACTGTGCTGAGTCAGACCTGAAGCCAACACAGCACTTGATCTTGCTCAAGGCCCTTCTCTTCAGGGCATCAAGTTCTTCCAGGCCCTGGGTGTGTCCAGAGATGCTATCTGTGTGTCCAGAGATGTTATTTGGAGTCCAGAGCTTGGAATCAAAAACCTTAGCATTTTACTTGACATTCTATTGTATTGTGGCTAAGCTGGCACCCACACCATAGTACAAAGTCCTTCCCACTCTTCCCTCCAGTTTCCACAGGCAGAGGATCCTCTCCCTGTTGCCACCACCACCACCAATCCACTGGGGTTCTGTTCACTTAAAGCCCAAAAGCTCGGCCAGGCACTGTGGCTCACGCCTGTAATCCCAGCACTTTGGGAGGCTGAGGCAGGTGAATCACAAGGTCAGGAGTTCAAGTCAGCCTGACCAAAATGGTGAAACCATGTCTCTACTAAAAATACAAAAATTAGCCAGGTGTGGTGGTGTGCACCTGTAATCCCAGCTACTCAGGAGGCTGAGGCAGGAGAATCACTTGAACCCAGGAGGTGGAGGTTGCAGTGAGCCAAGATTGCACCACTGCACTCCAGCCTAGGTGACAGAGTAAGACTCCGTCTCCAAAAACAAACAAACAAAAAAGCCCAAGAGCTCTTTCCTCAGGTTGTAGTGAATGTTCCCAGGCCTGGGCTCACCCTTCAGGGCAGTGGGCTCCCCTTTGGCCAAGGGAAGATTCAGAAATGCTGTCCAAGAGCCTAGGCCTGGACTCATAGACCCCAAGAGCCTGCTTGTTGCTCTATCCTACTGTGGCCAAGCTGGCACCTAAGGTACAAGACAAAGTCCCTTTTACTTTTCCCTCTGCTTTTCTCAAACAGAAAGAGTCTTTCACCATAGACACCACAGCTGGGAATGTTCTGGGTCACTCCTGAAGCCAGCATGTCTCAGAGTCCAAGGCTCACAGTGTACTCCCTGGTATCACTGCTGGTTATTCAAGGCCCAAGAGCTTTTTAGTCAGCAGGTGATAAATCTTGAAAAGACTGGATCCTTCCCTTCAAGGCAGCAGATTCCCTTTTGGTCCAGGGTGTGGCTAGAAATGACATCCAGGAACTAGAACCTGGAACAGGGACCTCACAACTCTGCCCAGTGCCCTATCTTACAGTGCCTGAGCTGGTATCCAAGATGCAAGACAAAGCCCTCTTTACTCGTCACTTTCCTCTCTTTAAGCAGAAAGGATTCACTTTCATTGTTGCAAACTACACTGCCTGGGATTGGGGGAGAGATGGTGTAAGCACTCCCTTGGCTGTGCCAGTTGGTGTCTCCCTGTCACGTGCCACCTTAGTCCACTGTCTCTAAGCTCAGCCTGGCACTAGAAGCTGTTTAGGAATTCCAGTCCTTGTGTCCTAGGCTGCATTTTAAGTTTACCTAGGACCCCAGGGCACTTCAGCTCATGGTGGCGAGTCTTGCCAAGAAACTCAAGTACTGACCACTGGGATGGGCTATTCCCCTCTGGCTAGGTAAGCTCCAAGTGCTCCCTTTGTGCACAGGTGCAGGCTATGCACTGCATGGCTTTATTCTCCACTGTGACAGGGCAACACTGAGTTCATTGTAAAATCCCCTAGTCACTGCACTCTCCTTCCTTAAAATGCACAGGATTATCTCTTCCTGTAGCAGTGCCTCTTCTGGGAGATGGGGGTGAGTGATACTGGCGATTCAAGACTCTCTCTCTCTCCTGCCCAGCTCAGTGCTTTTTTTAGTGATATGAAATTAAAATCAGGTACTGTGATTGCTCATCTGGTTTTTGGTTCTTCAGATGGTGCTTTTCTGTATGCAGATACTTGTTAAAATTTGGTGTTCCAGCAGGGGGTTAGGGGGATGAATGGTGTAGGCTTCTATTCTGCCATCTTGCTCTGCCCATTTTCATCTGTGTGTGTTTTTTAAAGATATTTAGATAGGTATAAAATATTTAAACATATTTTATCATGATATTTTATTTGTTTACCATATAAAATTCTTCATATAAATTTATTGGTATTGTTATGCTGTTAAGGATTTCAATGTCTACATTGATGTGAAAAGTGTGGGGTTACTATGCAATATTTATCTATTACAAACAAAAACATTCAGAAATAAATATATTAATTTGCCTTACACATATTTACCAATGAATCAGTACTGTGAGGAATATTCTGATTATAAAACAGGCATAAAAATATAGTTATGCTAAAATGAGCCAACTATTTCAAAATGATAAAAATCTTATCTGAAAATACTGTTCACTTTCCAAAAATACATTTGGGATAGACTTGGAATTTGAAACAACCAAATTTGAAACTTCAAAGTTTATCATCATATAAATTTCTTTGTAGGTCAGAAACATAAATACATTATGTAAAGTTGTTAATAGTATTTTTCCAGATAGATCGCTGTCATAACACACTTCACGCTGCTGTTTTTGAGGTTGTATACATCGATTACAGACTACATTGAAAAGTGTAAAAACAGCGACAACTTTCTCCTTAGGGACAGAAAATAGTCAGATATGACCCAAAAAGGCTCTATTGGGTCATAACCGCCTCTTTTCAGTCCCTGAGGATAACTTTAATTTGGAACAATTTTTTTAAGTAAATTCTAGAAAAAAATCAAAGAGGCAGAGTAGGTAGATTAAGATAATTCCCAAGAAGAGAAAAGGTAATATTAGACACTTCATCTCAAAAGGTAACATCAGCTGATAAATGTGATTATCTGAAAATGTGAGTAGCCTTTTATATAGAATAGTGAGAAGGTAGACCTTTTGATGACATGAATGGCTATGCAAAAACAGAACAGTAATTTAAGATATTTTTACTAAAACTATAGATCAACAAATTCTAGTGATTTCCAAAGTCCCATCTAGCTAAAAGACTTTCATGATCAGCCCTCTTCAAAGTCATTTGGAACGGAGATCTAATTGGATGTTCTATTTAGAGACTGTGCTATTGAACTACACTTTTGTCAACATCAAATAGGCATAGTAACATAATTCAACAAGCAAGGAGGTAATGGAATGGAATTAAACAAAGGAAAACATACACCCACAACAGTGAACTTAGCGTTGGAGGGCTTCAACTGCATTTTTTTAAAATTTCGAACTAAACACAAAATGTCCAGCATAGTCTTCTCAGCAAGTACATTATTTGTTGGAAGACAGAATGCTGTTTTAATGCATTCTGATTCCTTATTTTGTTACATAATAATTTGCTTAAAAAGCAACACATTGTGAGCTTGGGAGCTGTTAGGCTTTTATTTACCATGGTAGGTTAATCTCATTCAGTGAGGTATAGAAACTCAATAATGAGTGCTACAGTATATAAGCTAATTGCTAGGATAAAACCAAATGAATAATTACTTAACTCCAGAATGAGGCCTGTGGGAATTTTTCTTTAATAAAGGTTTAATTCACCAGTGATAATGAATGCAATCTCACATACTACTGAATAACACCATTAGCATAATGGCTGTGATACAAAAACTATAATTAGAACTAAACAGAAACGTTAATTACAGCCACCAAGGTACTGAATGAAATACTGTTGTTTAAAAAATTGACCTGCTTTGCTGTCACGCATTATGGGCTCAAGGATATCTCTATAATTCAATACATATATGTGTGTGTGTATATATATACACACACACATATATATGCATATCTATAAACATATATTAGAATACAGCTTTTATCATTCTATTGAAATTCTCCTAAGCACAATAAATATATTATTGAGAAGTTGTCTAGAATTTGAAATACAAGCTATACATAAAAATGATTAAAATTTTTGTTTTTGTTTGGTTAAATACAAACATCAATATTTGTGCTTTAAAAATCCAACATTAGAGAAGATAGTTGTCTCTGATTTTGCATTTTACTGATGCTAGCTCTACAAACACTAGAAGCAGTTTCTGAAAATGAACAGGTTCATAAAGTGTGAAACATTACTATAATAGGTTGGAGAAATAAGTTGCATAATCAATGAAAAAAGTCAAAGTACTAAACTAATGGTTCTAAAAAGACTCAGTTATGATTCCTAAAATTCTTTAATTTTCAATTACCAGATATATATATATATCTGCATGCATAATAGATTTACCTATGCAGATACATATGTTTTGATAAGCATTTTGAAACCAAGTGTCACATTCTATTAAACATTGAAAACAATGATCATAACAACCATCTGTTATCATACAATCTCAATGGGATATGCTTAAACCTATTTTCAAAAAGGTAAAGTCTTGTATCTCAAATATAGTTTATTGCCAACTCTAATTGCATGAGTTTTCATAAGAAAATAATCTTTATTTCTAAGATAGAACTTCCTCAATAGAAAATAAAAAACATACTATGAGCCAAATCAGGTAAGACTGGAAAAATGTTTTAGAATCATATTCTTAATTTATCCCTGACTACTCTTTATCCTTTACTCCATTATTCAGCTTTGACTGAATAAATATATTGCCTACTATTTTTCTTTCAATCCCTTTCCTTCATTACAACGCATTTTCCTCATGGTCCAACACAAGTTTTGAGGACTCATATGTATAACAGCTCCCATAGTGTACCTGGAAAGTGCTTCTCTTCCCACCAGCAACCATCCCATGAAAATTTCATTCTTTAACAAAATATTACCTACTTCTAATAATGCATATGAAAGACATATTTATCCTTGGTAACGCTAATCACAATCGCCCGTGACCTGGATGATTTCTCCACACAAGTGGACTGCTAACCATAGCACACACCCTGACAGTAGCCTATGAGGAAACAGAAGGGAAACAGATGCTAAGAGGAAGATTAGTTTGGATGTATCATTTCCTATGGGACTCGCCTGGCCTCTTATGCTCATAAAGTACGTGAGTGGAACTGATTATTGTCTTCAAGTTTCTCTTTTGCCATTCACCATCTTGTGGAACTGTGGATAAAACAATTCCTAGGCCTAAATTACCAGCTTTGACTTTTGAACTCCTGACCCATGTTGGAGTTTTTTAACAGGTGACCATAACTCTTTTTTTTAATTGACAAAAAAATTGTACATATTGTGTATGTGTTGTTTTGAAATACGTATACTTTATGGAATAGCTAAATTAAGCTAATTAACATATGAATTACCCCACATACTTATTTCTGTGGTGAGAACACTTAAAATTATTCTCTTAGCAATTTTCAAGAATACATTGTTATTAACTATAGTCACCATCTTGTGCAATAAAACTTTTGAACTTATTATTCCTAATTGAAATTTTGTATCCTTTGACCAACCCGCAACCCTCAGCCCCTGGTAAACCATCATTCTACTTTCTACTTCTATGAGTACAACCTTTTCAGATTTCACATGTAGGTGAGATCATGTGGTATTTGTTTTTCTGCGCCTGGTTTATTCCACTTAACATGTTTTCCAGGTTCATCTATGTTTTTTGCAAATGGAAGGATTTCCTTCTTCTTAAAGGTGAAATAGTATTACATTATGTACATATAAGATTTTTTTATCCATTCATCCATTTATGGATACTTAGGTTGATTCTATATCTTGGCTGTTATGAATAATGCTGTAATGAACATGGGGTGCAGATGTCTCTGTGACAAACTGATTTCATTTCCTTTGTCTACACACTCAGAAGTGAGATTGCTGGATCATATGGTAGTTACAGTTTTAATTTTGTGAGGCATCTCCATACTGGTTTTCATAGTGGCCATACTAATTTATATCTCTACCATTTTTTTCAAGGGTTCCCTTTCTTCTACATCATCTCCAGCATTTGTTATCTTTCATTTTTTTTCATAGATGCCATCTTAATAGGTGTAAGCTGATATCATTGTGGTTTTTATTTTAATTTCTCTGCTGATTGGTGATTTTGAGCATGTTTTTTATACACCTATTGGTCATTTGTATGTCTTCTTTTGAGAAATGTCTATTCAGATCTTCTGCCCATTTTCTTAATCTGGTGTTTTGTTTTCAAATTCTTGAGGTGACCTCCTTATACATTTTGGATATTAACCTCTTATCAGATACATGGTTTGCAAGTATTTTCTCCCATTCCATAGGGTTTTCTCTTTACAGTGACTGCAGCTCTTAAATAGGTCTTTGATCAAAGTAAGTGTTATTCATATCAGGAAAGGTAATTTTCTTGCACAACTTTGGATGGGTTACAGAAGTGGAAAGGGAAAAAAAGATTATGACCTAAAACATTAGATGTGTCAGATAACTCTAGCACCAATAGGATGAATGTTCACCTTCATTACTAAGAAACACGTCTAACTGACTGTTGGACATTTCCAACACAAGCATCTACAAACTAAGCCCTACTTGGTACTAACCTACACAAGTCTTCCTCCTCTTATATTCTCTGCTTCAGTTAATGGTAACACTATCAACTTGAACATTTTAATATACTATAAGAGACATTTTGTAGCTACAAGATTAATGATAGCCATAAGGCCCATTCGAACATCTTGCAAGGCCTACATTCTGTGTCACTTAGTAGTATGATGCAACCTGGTCTGGGAATTTCTAACTCTGGCCCCAAGATTACATGGTCTATATGACAATGGGACTTAAAAACCCTGTTTGCCCTAGAGACAAGATCCCCTTAGCACAGATGCAACTTTCACGAAGCTTAAAACAAGCTTACCCTTACAAGAATAGCTTAAATTCCCTTTATGATAGAAACACTTGGTAACTAGCCCAGACTGAAAACAGGTATAAAAAAGAAGGAAGAAGTCCCCAAACTCAGAATGGTCTCCAAAGGGCAGAGATCCTCCCAGTCAGGAAGTCATCTGACCCCTGACTGCATGTGGCCCATGCCACTGGTGTGTTCCTGATGTCCATCTTGTAAGAGCACTGCCAAAATAAACTACCTGAACATCAGGTGGTGGTGGGTATAAGACTTACTTATGATGTGAATCAGACTCATGGGGAATATCCACTCCTGGGGAAGTTGGTTAACCAGGATCACCCATGATCCCCAAATGCAACTAACTCATCCAGAAAATCCAGAATTTTTTTCTCAATACCCTCATATTCAATTGGTTAACAACCTTTAAATACTTTAAAATTTAAATTTTTCTTGCCATCTTTAATTTTCTTTTTTTTCCCTCATTGAGAAAAAGGGGATCTAGAGGAGAAAATAATTTTCTTACAACAAAAACTTAAATGAACTTTAATTTGCCTTGAATTAAAAGAACTATTTTTGGTCAATTAAAGACAAAATTAGGATTTTTAAAATAATATTTTAATCTGGACAACATAATTTTATCATTCTTGGAAAATGTGTTACCAACTGACATATTTATCACAAATGTTAATTAAGTACTATTAGTTCATCCAAGCAGGTATAGAAATGCTTGTTAGCATATATTATCTCCCCAAAATATATATGTTGAAATTGCCTCTAACTATGTGGTTTGAGAGCAATCTCCTGTGTTTGCATTAAGTAGCCCTGTGACTTGCCTGTCTTTCTAAAGGAAGAGAAGGAGGGGGATTCTAATGGCTCCCAGCAATCAGTACTTTTACCCTTAGGTGACCTCTGCAGTCTGAGAATGTGTGCATAATAAGAGAATGATTCACCTTGCTATGGACCTTGAACCATTCTGCAAACACACAGAAAAATAAATTAAGTTAATTCAAGTGCTGTTGCTGCTGCAAACGCTGTCCTTCACTGAGGAGAAAAAAAAAATAGGTGGGTGCGAGTAGTTGGGAGGACTACAGGGAAAGGAATCTGGAAATGACAAAAAAAAAAAAAAATCTATATTCTGCCAAGAGCTTGTTGGCATATAAATTTCTGAAGAGCAGAATTATAATCAGACACAAACCATCTCCTTTGTGGTACAAAAATTAGGAAGCATGGTTCAAGCATGTGGCTCTGTCAAGATACAAGTCTTTTCTTTTTTTTTTTTAAGGGTTTTTTTGCACTTTCCACTTCACAATATATAAAAACTCTTGTCCAAACATAGCCTGATACGATACCCACAATAAGATTCAGCCTCCTCTGTATTTTTAATTAACTCAGGCACAGCAGTCGTTTTTAACGGCTAACATTTTGTGTGAGTTACAGTATGCACACTGCTGAGACATAAATGCAAAGTAATCACTCTAATAAGTAGATATAAACATTTACAACAATTGCAACAAGTCTGTGCAACAAATAAGGGAATATAAAGAAAAATAACCAGCAGCAACCAAGGAAACGTGTCTCAATACAATTGCATAGGTATGAATGTCATTCAAAGCTCTGATCTTTTGTTGCCTTCAGTAATTTCAATACACTAAAGTCCCTAATGAGATTGTACTTTTAATGCCAAAAAATGACAGCCCTGATTAGGAAACAAAAACAAAAATCAAGTCTTCAATTTTCATGTTTGTGCCCAAGAAACCAGCAAGAACTCAAGGCACTTGGGTGACTGCATCATTTCCCTAACAGAAAGAAATTATAATACCTCAGTCCAGAATAAAACAGGGCAAGCCTTCAGCACTCCATCTGCAAACAGTAGGCCTTAAGGTAGTAAGAGGCTTCTTGACAAGCATAAAGAATAGAACAAATGCCAATGGAGGTGGAGCCCATGAGACAGGAGAGACTGCAACAAGATGAGACTGGAGAAGCAGACAGCAACCAGGGTTTAGAAATTTTGGTGGATCAGAATAAGGGGAACATATATTATTCAAAGCACAGTAGTCATGGGAGGACTTTAAGCAAGTTAATATCGTGATCTGACTTATGTGTCTTAAAGGTTTCTTTGGCTGCTGGTTAGGGAATGGGTTGTATGGGGCCAAAGTGAAAACCAAGAAACCACTCATGGTCTACTGTAGTAAGAGTTATGGTCTTCAGGATTGGAACTGGAGGTAATGCCAGAAAGGACAGACAGATAAAGGATAGTTATTAGCGGAGAAAGTAAGAAAAAGGTAGAGATAAAGAGCCCCAGGTTGGGACTCAGGCATATGAAAGGGTGACAGTGCCATTTATAGAAACAGGGGATACAGAGAAAGAAAAAGAATGAAGGCTTAGACAACATTCAATCCAACAATTTTTAAGTTTCTTATATATTCCAGGGACTCTCTTATGGCATGGATATTGTCATTGTCTTTTAAAAGCTAGATCTACTGTGACACAGAGACACAACTACATAAGCAAACATTGGAAAAGAATAGCTACCACGTAAGATATATTAAATGTGAGCTAAGCACTAGTTTGAGAGCCTTACTTATTCAATCTCACACAAACCCATGTTACTGGTGAAAGCTCTGGGGTCTAGAATATAGTGACAAGCCCAAGCAACTGAGCAGATAAATGTTTGAGCCAGGATTTAAAACTGAGGCAGTTTGGCTCAAAAATCCATGACTCTGACCATTGATACCACAGGACTTTCAAAACACATGTGCACCTGCACACATGCACACATATACACACACTAAAAGTGCTATGGTAAAAGTACAGTAGAGTAAATATTGATTCCAAGTCTAAGCATCTGGGATGGCGAAAAAGCTACTTTGAGGAGGGCAGTGTAGAATGAACCTTGATGGCAAGGTAAACTTTTTACACAAAGGCAGAGCAGGGTGGAGCTGCCAGGCAAAATGGTTAGTATAAGTAAAAAAAATAGGTAAGATAAAGGTAACTCAGTTAGAGAAGCCAAGAAAAGTTTGGGAAAATACTTCTCCTCAGATGTAATTTTGCCTAAGTCATGATATGCTAAAAACAATTGACACCAAAAATAAATGTCTATCCTAAGCTGGTAGAGTGTTTTGCCTAATTTATTTCAGTAATGGTAAAAATCTTATAGCTCCTTACTTACATGATCTCTGAGTATTGTGTGTTTCACCATCTTAGAGGGAAGATATTTAGCTGCATGAGATTAAGCAAATGGATCAGGTCAATGATATTCTGCAACTGGGCAGTTTCCATTTATTGGCCTTTGTACGGGGAAGTGGGCATCTTTGAGAAATGTGCAATAAAGTCTTCTCTAAAAAGAGAGTCAGACTTGAGAGGGTGGAGGAGTAGGAGAGTATGGGGGTGAAATGGGAATATTTGCAAATTCTAGCTCTAGGAATAACAATTTTTAGCCCAACCCAATATAATTCTCATTTATACTTAATATGAGCCAGGCATTACATGAGTTATAAGAATCCTGCAAGGATCTATGGTAGACAGAATAATAGTACCCCAAAGATATCCACATCTCAATCCTGAAATCTGTGAACACATTACCTTACATGGAAAAAAGAGGCTTTGCAGATGTAATGAAGTGAAGTATTTTGATATTGGAAGATTATTCAGGATTATGTGGGTGAGTCCAATAAAATCTCAAGGGTCTTTATAAGAGAGAGGCAGGAGAGTCAGAGTCAGAGGAGAGGAAAAGATGAAAGCAGAAATCAGAGAGGAAGAGATATGAAGCTGGCTTTGAAGAATGAGGAAGAGGCCATCAGCCCAAGAATGCAGGCAGCTCCTAGAAGGTAGATGAGGCAAGGAAATAGATTCTGCCCTAGAGCCTCCAGAGGAATGCAGCCTGTTGATGCCTTGATTTTAGGACTTCTGACCTCCAGAACTTCAAGATAGTAAACACTTGTTGTTTTAAGCCATTATGTTTGTAGTAACTTGCTATAGCATCAATAAGAAGCTAATAAAATTTGTAAGCTCACTAATTTGCTCATTTTATTATTTTTATAATTCCTTTCATTCAATATTCATTAATCCCTTTATTCATCAAATACTTAAGCCATGAGGCATGCCAAGGCCTCCTTTGGTGTCTGAAATATGAATGGCAAAATAAGACAAGGTATTTGCTCCTAAAATGCTGTCTATTGGAGGGCACAAAAACAAATAAGTGTAATAAAATATTTTAAGTGATAGAGTGGCATGATAGTTGCAGGTGGGAAAGAAAGTTCAGCTCTGCTGGAGGAAGAGAGAGAAGCATTCAGAAAGCCTTCATGGAATTTCGCCCTCTGTCTCTCCTTTCTTTAATGTATGGGGCAGGAGAGTCTAGCCCATTTCCTAGTCAGTCTTTCAAAGAATGCTCTGAGTGACCCCAGCTCCCACCTCCTCAGCTGGATCCTGGGCTTTCTGGGAGGAGGAGGAGCCTCAGGGAAGGACTGGGCCTAAGAAGGTCTCTCAGGACAAATAATAGAAAAGCCCTAGGGCTTTCAGGCACCAGCATCCTCAGCAAATTAATCCATTTCCTCTCCAGAAGGCCAGATATTAGGAGAAAAATGTCATAGTATCAGTCCATTTTCACACTGCTGATAAAGACACACCTGAGACTGGGCAATTTCCAAAAGAGGTTTATTAGAACGTGGCTAGGTAGGCCTCACAATCATGGCAGAAGGCAAAAGGCACGTCTCACATGGTGGCAGACAAGAGAAGAGAGCTTGTGCAGGGAAACTCCCCTTTTTAAAACCATCAGATCTCATAAAATTTATTCCCTATTATGAGAACAGCACTGGAAAGACCTGCCCCATGATTCAGTTACCTCCCACTGGGTCCCTCCCACAACACATGGGAATTCAAGATAAGATCTGAGTGGGGACAGAGCCAAACCATATCGGTCACTTTTCCTGAAAGTCTATCAAGGGAAAAAAGTAATGTTGAAATTGTATTTCACTTTAAAAAAAAAAAAAAAGGAAGAAAAAAAAGCAACCACCCAAAAAGAACCTATATATATTTCTATCAATTGCAAGTTTGTGTACTCTGATATAAAATTTTTTCGCTTAGTATTTTTCTTTTTGGTTTACAAGTCTATATGTTATTCCCACGTGATGTTGAGTGGTTTTTGTTCTCCTGCCACCAAATTGTAACTGATGTTCTGATGCTCTGATGCTCCAAAGATGAATGTCATAGATGTGATAAAACACCACATTCTAAAGACTAGCCCAGATATATTATTGGAAAAGTTCCTAAGAAAAGTTAGAACTGGCCCTACCACCATTACCCTGTACCCAACTCCAGGTCCACCCTGTTTAAACAGGCATTAGGAATGTAAGATAGAATGTCTGGAGCAGCGACTGAGTGAGCTAGGTAGGAAACCACTTGTTTTTCCCCTCCTTACTCAACAAGAAAAGGGAGAAGTATGCTCCTCCCACACAAAACCAAGTGATGACCCAGCAAAAATGGGTAAGGTTGCAAGAAGGAGACCAACATTTTATTTCTGCCTATGGAGCAGAACAGCTCTGTGACTCTTGGACCAAAGAAAAAGGAACTGAGACAAGTGGTAGAAGAGGCAGGATCAATGGTGGGACCTGCCATCACTTCCATTATGGTGTGACAAGGATTTTATCTTCCTGGCAGATCATGTTTACCATGGAAAGTAGCCAGGCTTCGACTTCCTTGTAGGCATTTCAACCAAGAAAACTGCCTTCTGAGCAAGGGGATCCCAGCAACCCTGGTACAGCAGGCTCTGAGCAATACCAAGGAGCAGGGCAGGAACTAAGAGGGGCTATGTAGGAACCATATCTCGATCAGGAAACCGCAGTAGGGAGGCCCTCCCAGGGTGCCCTGAAGAACACATACAGCTCATAGAGAGTAAGTGATTGGAAGACAGTCAGGTAAAAAATATCTACATTCCTCTTCTCCCTCCACTTCTTCCTACTACTCCAATACCATGGTCCACCTTCAAGAGAAGCAGAAGAAGATGGCACAGGTGAGTGAAGGAACACACAGGCCATGCTCACTTTCCCACCATGATTCTAGCCAAAGCCCACCGGTTTGGGTTAGAAAGGGATAGGGTGCATGGAAGAAATATAATTGAAGTTTTGCACTGGAATAAATGTATAAAAAAGTTAGATATTTGTCTGAGAAATTGTTAAGAGACAGAGAGGGGGGATAGCTAAAGGTGGTAAATCAAAAAATAAACAAAAATAGAGGTTCTCCACCAAGTTCAAATTGTTCAATAACTTGTAATTACCAGCATATTTGAGTGTTTACAAGTGATATATAAATAGAAATAAAGTTTGAGACTGTGATTTAGTCTCCTTAAAATAAAGCAGAGAAAGCATATATTCAATTTTCCAAAAGTCCCTGGAATACTAACACAATTTCTGGCTCCTAGAAAGCAGAATGTGGGGTGGGAGGATGTTATGCAGAGAACAGGAAATGTCAGGTGCCAATGCTTATTTGAATATCATATATTACTCTTTAAGTTAAAAATATACATGCATGTGCATATACCTGCTACTTTTGCTAGAAATAAAAAATACAATCACCACAATTTTATTTAGTTTATTTAATTTTCTCAAGAAAACAATACTTTTTTCATTAAAATATTAGGAAAAAAATAATTTGCCTTAGTAAAGGAGAATGTAAACATAGTAACTCTAATTTGGAAAGATACTGAACCTATATTGGATAATAAAATATATTATAAAACCAGAAAGACACAGCAATATTTAAAATCTAGCTGATTTCCCTTTGGAGGCAGATGACTAACAGCTTACCTCAGCGAAGCAAAAATTGCTACAATAGTTTTTTTAATAGAAATGGTCCTTATTTATCATCTAAGATAACACCTATATACCTTATAGGCAAGAAATGAAAGATCTTAAAGACATTATGAAAAAAATCCAAACCTTATATTACAGTAATGTGATACTAATTAAAGTGGTGGCCTGGAAATAAATTCAAGATGTCTACACAATCCCTAGTAATGAAGAAAGGAAACATAGACTGACTAAAATAGTAGACAGAAAGTCAGTTGTGATTACTTTGGGATATAATTTTTATTCCAATATTAGAGCCAAGGGAATACAAAGAATACCTCAGAAACTGCCTCAAGACTACGCAAGTTCTTGTGTCTGACCCTTCCTTGCTCAACAACTTCCTATAATGCACTCCATTGTAAGAATACATAGGTCTCTTTCCCAGCTAGCCCAAGGCAACAGCCGAAGCTTAGCAGACCTTCCAGCTGTCTCTGGAGAAAAGTAGTTTAAATGAGCAACCAATAAATAAGCTTCTAATTTGTCCAAATACAATTTGGTTAAGAAATTGTGTTCAATGACCTTTCATTTAGTATTTGAAAGGTAAAGAATCCAATATAACAATAAGAAATGATTAAATGAGAAAAGTCTGAACTTATCAATAGTGGGAGAGATCTCTGCAGAGGAACAATTTACATTCTGCCCTTCTAAAAGTTGGCATAATTATTTATGATCCAAGACAGCAAAGTGTCAAATGACTCACAGGCTTAAGTTAGTATCTTTTAAATAATATAAACCTTCTTTCTATTCATCTAGAAAGAAGTAAAATCTGTGAGATGTAGTGAATTGAAGTTCAAGATAACAGAGAAGAAATTAAATTAACATTTAAGTGTATGAAAAGAGTTCAAATATTCAGACCCAGATTACTGAAATAGAGATGGCTGAGGCATTTTCAGATATGAACACATCCTACCTTAAATTAACTTTTAAAAGCCATACAAACTTGAAAAGGTACCAAAAGACTGAGATAGGCAAAAAGTGTCTCATCCCTTTTATTTTAAGTCTGGGCTCCAGAAACCATAGAAATGTTGACATCAATCTCAAAAGAAAATACTGGGACAGGTTTTTAAGCAGATGGCTTGTATATATTTAGGAAGAAAAGAGTGGAAATCAAAGCAGTCCACCTAGGGTCAGTAAGAAAATCTAAATCAAATCAATACTAGTTCCTTTTTTTGTACAGTTTCTCTATTAGAAGAATAGATGAATAGCCCAGACACACAAAGACAATTTCGTTAAAATATTCAGCAAAATCACATGATATTTTAGGATATAATGTAAAAAGAGATAGAACAATGACATAATACCAATCCTGATGGTTATGCTATTCTATGCCATGAGGTTGTTTCCTTTGGCAATATTGCTCTTCAGTGACTTGAAAGAAGACACAGAAGTCATGCTTATCCATTTTTGGAAGACAAAAATCTCTTTATATTTATTTGGCATGAAATACTTAAAGCTTTTTCCCTTCCATATTTTGGCTTGCTCACATGCGGTTACTTCCCTCTTCAGTGACTTTCCTTTGCCCTTCCTGATTGCTTCTGCATTTCCAACTAATCTCAATTTGACTTACAATTATATTCTCCCTATTGCCTCCACTAAGGAGCTGCAGAAATATTTTTCCCATACCTGAATGATTGAACTAATCACATTGTGTGTAAATTTTCTTGCTGTTTAGCCATTTAGATGGTTCTGTCTGGAAGAAAGCATATTTAAAAATTCATCTTGGTATCTTGAGGGCCTGAAATATAACAGATATTCAGTATTTGATAAATAAAACCAACTTGAATGATTCCAGAAGTTCATCAGGACAGTAAGAAACTCCTGTTAGAAATTGCAGAAGAAACTGCAGCCATCTAGATAACAGAAAATTCCTAGTAACATGAAGGGCCTGCTCATTGCTCCAGATTCCTACTGAAATGAGCCATAGAATGTAAAAAAATAAAACAGGGAAATCTGCTCAACCATGAGAGGGTCCACCAACAAAAAAACAATCTGTAGTAAATTATACAAAAAAGTACAGATAATATTGAAGATAGGAAATGAGAAATGATCTCCAAATTATCCTGCTAAGAAACATTAGAAACATCAGGAAGAAGGAAAAACCGGTAACTAACTTTGGAGAATAAACACTGGAGTCATGAACAGTGCATGGCCCACTTAGACTCTTGTTTGCCACTTGGAAATTGATTGCCCTGCAAGACCCAGGGCTACAGTTATGTGCAGATGAATGGAGCAGCAGCAGATCAGGAAGGTTGACCCTGGTGCAAGGCTGAGACCAAAAGAAGACATCATCTGAAAGCTGGTTCCCAATATATCAGTTTCATTAAGAAGAAAATTCTCTATAAGGAATTTCCCCTGCTTGAACTTCCTATAACTTTAGCTCCCTCTCGATTCACCTTAGGCTCATACACCACTGGTTATGTAAATTTTTATGGCAACAATTTAGACAGTGAGAATACATCAAACCACTTATGGGTAATTACTAACCATGAATAGATTTCTCTCATTCAATGAATAATTTTTTATAATTATATATATATACACACACACACACACACACATATATATGTATGTATGTACTTTTCCCTAAGTACCTTATTATTGAGAACAAAAGTAAAAATTGTAAATCTGTCAATTTTGTACTCACAATAAAATTCAAAAAATAAATGGATTCTTAAACCAGAGATGAAAAATAAAATGGTAAAGAAAATAAAACACACTGAGAGGAAAAATTGTAAAAGCACAATGAGATAAGAGAAATGGAAGAGGCTGGGTGCATGCCTTTAAAGGCTCATGATTTAAACCCAACACTTTGGGAGGTGGAGGTGAGAGGATGGCTTGAGCCCAGGAGTTTGAGACCAGCCTGAGAAACAGAGGGAGACCCTGTCTCTGCAAACAAAACAAAACAAAAAACTAGCCAGATATGGTGCATGCACCTGTAAGTCCTAGCTACTCAGGAGGCTGAGGTGTGAGGATCACCTGAGCCCTAGAGGTCGAGGCTGCAGTGAGCCATGCTCACGCCACTGCACTCCAGCCTGGGTGAGAGAATGAGACCCTCTCTCAAAAACCAAGCCAAACAAAACAACAACAAACAAACAAACAAATAAAATAGAGAGAGAAATGGAAGAAATGCAGTTGAAGAACTGAAATATGTGCCAAGAGCAATGAACGGTCAAATCATCCTGACAGAATGTAGAGGATGAATGAGTGAAAATGTACAAGCAATCAGAGGAAGGCCAAATAAACTAAAGGCTAGAAAATCAGTATCCAATTGCCAGCTATGTGTTGTTCCTAAACACAATACCAGAAAAAATTTGATTAAAAAAAAAAGTAGGCCGGGCACGGTGGCTCATGCCTCTAATCCTAATACTTTGAGAGACTGAAGTGAGAAGATTTTTCAAGACCAGCCTGGGCAATATAGTGAGACTCCAACTCTACAAAAAAAAAATTGTTATTTTAAATTAGCCAGTGTGATGGCATGTGGCTATAATCCTAGCTACTTGGGAGGCTGAGGCAGGAGGACTGCTTGAGCCCAGAAGTTCGAGGTTACAGTGAGCTATGATCATGCCACTGCACTTCAGCCTGGGCAACAGAGCAAGACCCTGTCTCTACAAATAAAATTAAATACAATAATATGAATAACAATAATAAATTAAAATATCTTTTCTGACCTATAGAAATGCCTGAATTTGCATATCTAAAGAGCTTACTAAAAACTGAGAAAATTAGTGCAGAAAATAACACACGGCTATACATAGCAGTGATATTTTTAAATTTTAAAGACAAAGACTCTCCTCATCATCCAGATTAAAGACATTTGAGGATGAGGGGAACCAAAATCAAAGTGGCTCCAGAATTGTCCCAACAAATATTAAATAATAAAATTAAATGACACCTATAGAGTTTTTAGAGAAAATTTTTGATGTGCAGCCAAATTGTAGGAGACATGTAAATGCTAAAGACTTACATTATCTGAATGCTAAGATTCAGAATCTAGGATATAAGGTATTTTTCTATAAATTTTTTTTGAAGGTATATGCCAGTGAACCACAGGAAAATATCAAAAACTAAATGACTAAAATATTAAAAACTAAAATGAAATAGACAAAAAATTTTTTTTAATCTGTATCAGCCCTTAAATGTTAAGGACTTGCAAAATTTCATGTAGATTGCAGTGAATTGAGGGACATGTTCACATCAAAATGTCTACATATAAAAACACCATCTAAATAAAAACATAAACATCAAATTGGAGATGAAATTCATCTGGAATTTTGAGGGAGAAAAAAGCTATTTTTCTAAGCATTTAAAGAGCATTTCCAAATTATTAAGAAAAAAAGACAATCACACAAATTAAACAAATTAGCAAATCACCCAAATAGACCATTAACAAAAGAGGAATTTAAAGTGGTAAGTTTCAGAAAAGACTCATTCTTACTAGCCAATGAATAAAAAAAAATTAAAACAATACTCTGAAACCATTTTTCATCTATCAGATTAATAATAATTAAAAAGCATGATACTACCCCAAGATGGCCAGAGTGAAAAGAAATGGATAGTCTCATACACAACTGGTGGTAATATAGTAATGTTATAGTCTTTCTCCAAACACATTTGACAGTATAAATTTAAAAAAACTTAAAAATGATTTACTCTTAAATAGTTAAACAATTCTATGTTAAAATTACTGCGCAAAATGAATGTGCAACCGAATTTAAGAACAATATAGACAAATCATCCATTTATTCACTTAATAAATATTTACTGATTACAAATTATGTGTCAGGTACTATTCTAAATGGGGATACTACAGACTGAATGATTGTGTGCTCCCCTCTCCCAATCCCAATCCCCACCGCCCAGCCCACACCCACCCCCCATGACCCCTGTGACAAATTCATATGTTGAAATCCTAACCCACAATGTTACCATATTAAGAGGTGGGGCCTTTGGTAAGTGACTAGGTAATAAAGGCAGAACTCTCACGAATGAGATTAGTGCTTTTACAAAAGAGACTGGGGGCCAGGTGCAGTGGTTCACGTCTGCAATCCCAGCATTTTGGGAAGCCGAGGCAGGTGGCTCACTTGAGGCCAGGAGTTCAAGACCAGCCTGGCCAATATGGTAAATCCTGTCTCTACTAAAAATACAAAAATTAGCCTGGCATGATGGCAGGTGCCTGTAATCTCAGCTACTCAGGAGGCTTAGGCAAAAGAATCGCTTGAGCCCAGGAGGCAGAGGTTGCAGTGAGCTGAGATCGTGTCAAAGCAAGACTCTGTCTCAAAACAACAGAGAGAGAGAGAGAGACCCTGGGAGGGCTCCTTTATCCCAGCAAGAAGACTGTCTATGAACCAGGAGGCAGGCACTTATCAACATCAAGTCTGCTGGCAGCTTACCATAGATTCCCCAACCTCTAGACCTGAGGAAAAAAAATTCTGTTGATCATAAGCCACCCTGTCTATAGTGTTCTGTTATAGTAGTCCAAGTGAACTAAGACAGCAACCTATAGTGTTACACATGGCAGCTCAGATCCCTATTATTATGCTCCCATTATATTATAATGGGAAAAAGGGGGACAGCGGGCATAACATTGACATTTCTGAATATATCACCTCAAACATACGTACGAAAGAAAACAGAAATTGCTCAGTTATAGAACATCAATGACTAGATGTAATTTTAAAATAATCTTTGTTTGACATATCTATTGAGTAGAGTTTCTTAAAGGTGTTCTATACTTTAAAAATGAGAGTTTATAGTTACATTGTATTGACGAATACTCTTAGAGTTTCCCAATATATGTTACCAAATTAAAGGCTCTGAAAACTTTGGAAAGATAAATTTTTCATCTTCTTTAAGATTCCCAAAACTTGTATTTTTTAAAATGTTGCTCTATAGTTTTTACCTGATCATATACAAATGTTTTGAAACACTGTCATAAAGAAAAGCATAAAGAAGCAAGTATAAATCATCTGAAATCCTGCCATCCTGAGATAATCACCAGAAACAGTTTGTTGCTGACCTTCTCTTCTTTCATTTTTCCATGTCTATATAATCACACCATCAAACATGTGTATTTAGAGATCATTCTAAAATGCTGTTGTTATTTGTGAATGCGTTTGTTTTCCTTTTTTCTTTTCTCTCACCCCTCCATTCTCCATTCTCTATCTAGAAAATCAATATAAAAAATCTGGTTGTTACTTTTCCCCACATTTATATAATCATGTACACATTTTTACATAACAGAATGTTAAATGGAATTGACCCTGTACTCTGACACTGGCCTGAAGCCGTAAGCAGAAGATGATGAGTAGTAAATGTCAAAACATTCTAAATTTGTTAAGGAAAGGTCCTGGATACATTTTTACAAGGCTTTCTAAAAGGGGAATACAACTGGGCCTGTGACTCTTACTTATCCACAAGATCTAGCCTACATATGAAGATTTATTTATACAAAGAGGTACTGACTTAAAAGAGTGTGAATCAGCCTTTCCTCTTTCTACTAGTGGAGTGGATGCTGCCCTCTCACCTATCAAGCCAAGAGCAGGAGTGGAGAACGAGGAAGATGGCCATAAAGTCCTTGGGAACATTCAGGGGTATGTGCATAAGGAGATTCTGCCACAGTTATTTTCTGGATGGATGCTTGATAACCCAAGGAAACTCATTAGCCTAACTAGTCCTTCATCTACCTCTATTGCAAAAGGATTCTTTGAAAATATTATATATCCCTACAAGAATTTGGAAGAATACATGATAAAACTAAAAGCTGCTTGAATTCCCTGACATCAGAATAAGGAGAGAAGAGTGCAACAAGAGTAAAATACATTTCCATAGATGTGGGGCAAGAGGTTAAGTTTTCCATGTCAAGTGATACTATCATTGTAAGTAAGCTAAAGCTGCCTTGAAAGGATCCCTTTTTAGGGTGCTTGGCAGAAGGAGAGGGCCCAGGATATATACCCTTTGGAAAGAAGTTAAGAGAAAATAATAAAAGGCTAGACTAAACGTGTATCACTCAAATTAGAAAAAGGTAGAATATAAAAAGCCATAGTACCAGGTTGCTGGAGGTAGTAGTGTTTCTAAAGAATCCACAAATAATTCCTAAGAGAAAAAGCTAGCAACAGTTAGACATCTGTTATGACAGACAGCATAGAGGAACCAAGAAAAAATTCCCAATAACATCAGCCATTGCCTGGTTACCTCTTATCTCCCCTTCCTGCTCTGACACTGCAGTGTCAGAAGCAGCAAGAGTGTGAGGGGAAAGGTAAGAACAAGATAGAGCAATAGTGAAAGAATAAATGATACTGCATCACTACCCAGCTGATAAGGTTGGCTGTGCCCCCACCCAAATCTCACCTTGAATTCCCACATGTAGTGGAAGGGACCTGGGGGCAGGTCTTTCCTATGCTGTTCTCATGATAGTTCTCATGAGATCTGATGGTTTTAAAATGGGAGTTTTCTTGCGCAAGCTTTCTTTTCTTGTCTACTGCCAGTGTGTGATGTGCCTTTCACCTTCCACCATGATTGTGAGGCCTCCCCAGCCATGTGGAATTGTAAGTCCAATAAACTCTTTCTATTGTAAATTGCCCAGTCTTGGGTATGCCTTTATCAGCAATGTGAAAACAGACTAATACAGTAAATTGGAACAGCAGAGTGAGGCGCTGCTGGAAAGATATCTGAAAGTGTGGAAGCAACTTTGGAACTGGGTAACAGGCAGAGGTTGAAACAGTTTGGAGGGCTCAGAAGAAGACAGGGAAATGTAAGAAAGTTTGGAACTTTGGAGACTTTTTGAATGGCTTTGCCCAAAATGCTGACAGCGATATGGAAAATAAAGTCCAGGTTGAGGTGATCTCAGATGGAAATGAGGAACTTGTTGGGAATTGGAGCAAAGGTGACTCTTGTTACCTTTTAGCAAAGAGACTGGTGGCATTTTGCCCCTGCCCTAGAGATTTGTGGAACTTTGAACTTGAGAGAGATGATTTAGGATATCTGGCAGCAGAAATTTCTAAGCAGCAAACATTCAAGAGGTGACTTGGGTACTGTTAAAGATATTCAGTTTTAAAGGGGAAGCAGAGCATAAAAGTTTGGGAAATTTGCAGCATGACAATGCAATAGAAAAAAAAATCCCATCTTCTGAGGAGAAATTCAAGCCAGTTGAAAACATTTGCATAAGTAACAAACAACTGAATGTTAATCCCCAAGACAATGGAGAAAATGTCTCCAGGGCATGTGAAAGACCTTTGCGGCAGCCCCTCCCATCACAGACCCAGAGGTTTGGGAGGGAAAAATGGTTTGGTGGGCTGAGCCAGGGTCCCTCTGCTGTGTGCAGTCTAGGGACTTGGTGCCCTGCATTACAGCTATAACTAAAAGGAGCCAAGGCACAGCTTGAGCTGCTGCTTCAGAGGGTGGAAGCTGCCAAGCCTTGGCAGCTTCCACATGGTGTTGAACCTACGAGTCCACAGAAATGAAGAATTGAGGTTTGGGAACCTCTGCCTAGATTTCAAAGATATATGGAAATGCCTGGATGCCCAGGTAGAAGTTTGCTGCAGGGGTGGGGCCCTCATGGAGAACCTCTGCTAAGGCTGTATGGAAAGGAAATGTGGGGTCAGAGCCCCCAAACAAAGTCCCTACTGTGGCACCACCTAGAGAAGCTGAGAGAAGAGGGCCACCATCCTCCAGACTCCAGAATGGTAGATCAACTGATAGCTTGCACCATGTACCTGGAAAAGCTGCAGACACTCAATGCCAGCCCATGAAAGCAGCCAGGAAGGGGGCTGTGCCCAGCAAAGCCACAGAGGCAGAGCTACCCAAGACCATGGGAACCCACCTCTTGCATCAGCATGACCTGAACATGAGACATGGCGTCAAAGGAGATCATTTTGGAGGTTTAAGATTTGACTGCCCCACTGGATTTCAGACTTGCATGGGGCCTGTAGCCCCTCTGTTTTGGCCAATTTCTCCCATTTGCAATGGTTGTATTTACCCAATGCCTGTACCCGTATGTGGGAAATAACTAACTTGTGTTTGACTTATAGGCTCATAGGTGTAAGGGACTTGCCTTGCCTCAGATGAGACTTTGGACTATGGACTTTTGAGTTAATGCTGAAATGAGTTAAGACTTTGGGGGATTGTTGGGAAGGCATGATTGGTTTTGAAATGTGAGGACATGAGATTTAGGCAGGGCCAGGGGTGGAATGATATGGTTTGGCTGTGTCCCCACCCAAATCTCATCTTGAATACCCACATTGTGGGAAAGACCCAGTGGGAGGCAATTGAATCGTGGGGGCAGGTCTTTCCAGTGCTGTTCTCATGATAGTGAATAAGTCTCAGGAGATCGGATGGTTTTAAAAAGGGGAGTTTCCCTGCACAAACTCTCTTCTCTTGTCTGCTGCCATGTGAGATGTGCCTTTTACCTTCTGCCATGATTGTAAGACCTTACCAGCCACATGAAATTGTAAATCCAATAAACCTCTTTCTTTTGTAAATTGCCCAGTCTTGGGTATGCCTTTATCAGCAGAGTGAAAACAGACTAATATACCAGCCTTCCCTTCATCATCCTCAATATGTTTTGCAGAAGCCAAGATCCAGCCTGAGCTAGGGGTATGGGAGGCAATTTGAACTGTTTGGGAGATTGAAGTTTTGATATTAGATTAGATTTGACTTTTTCTTTTTTCTTTTTTCTTTTTTTTTGAGACAGGGTGTTGCTCTGTTGCCCAGGCTGGGGTGCAGTGACACAACCATAGCTCACTGCAGCTTCAACCTCTCAGGGCTCAAGTGATTTTTCTGCCTCAGTCTCCCCAGTAGCTGGAACTACAGGCATGCACAATTATGCTCAGCTTTTTTTTTCTTCTTTGCAGAGATGGGGTCTTGCTATCTTGCCCAAGCTGGTCTCCTTGGCCTCCTAAAGTGCTAGGATTACAGCATGAGCCACCACACCCAGCCTAGATTTTTATTATCTAAAAATATGACTGGAAAAAAACAAGAAATCTGACATCAAGATATAATCTAAGGCCAAGAAAGGGAGATCTGAGAAAAGTCTGCTTATTAGTGGAGGAAAGCAAAAATTATTTAATTAGTGTAAGGTATCGAGACTTCCACTTTCACTGTGTATATAAATATATATCATTAAATTTATAAAAGGCAATTGTATTTTATATATTTATCTATATCTTTTTTTCGAATTTGGTAAAATACTCTGGAAAGCCTCCCAAACCTTGATTCTAATTCATCCATAATGATTGCTTTGAATCTTTGGTCCAATGTACTCACCTGTTTTTCATCATTCTCATATTAATAACTTTCTTTTCATTTCAATACTTTTTGTTGCTCAAAAAATCCCACTGCAATATCTACCCTTATTTTATGCTAACTTTTACTTTTATGAAATCATAGAAGCAGAAAGCATGAGTCTGTTTGCTAGGAAAATGTATGCATATTATATTCTAATATATTGCCAACATGATTTCCACAAAAATATAGCAAAATTTCCACGTGCAATATATGAAAATGCTAAATTTTTGGAATCCTTGTTAACACCAGAAATTACCACTCTTTTAAATTTTTAACAATTTACTGGGTTAAAAAGCGATTATCTCATTGTTTTAATCTGCATTTCTCTGGCTACTGGTAAGACTGAGCATGGTTACTGGTCATTCGAATGTACTCTTCTGGGAAATTCTTTATAATAAAATTGGCCTATTTTTCTAGTCAGTTATTTGTGTTTCTCTTATCAATTTAAAGAATCTTTGTGTGGTATAGAATTTAAATATTTATATCCCAAGTATTACAAGTATTATTTGCAAATCTATCATGTCATAGCCATACACTGTTTTTCACTCTTTTACAATAAACATTTTTTATTTTGGAAGAATTTTAGATTTATAGAGACATTGTAAAGATAGTATAGGGAATACTGAAATCCCCTCACCTGTTGCCATCTTCCATCATCATGAGACATTTGTTAAATCTAATAAATATCAGTATTGATATATTACTGATACAGGATGCCATATTATATTTATTTGTTATGTCTTTCTGGTATCCTCTGGTTTATGATAGTCTCTCAGGCTTTCTTTCATGATCTTTACAGTTCTGAGGAATACTAGTCAAGTATTTCATAAAATGACCCTAAATTTGGATTTGTCTGATATTTTTCTCATAATTAGACTGGGGTTATGTGTTTGTAGATATAGTGTCATAGAGTGCCCTTCTCATCACATCATATCAGGCAGTACCTGCTATCCACACAACATCACTGATGGTAGTAACCTTGATCATTTAGCCAGGTTTCTCCATTGTTAAGTTATTACTTGTCTCTTTCTATACTCTGTTATTTGAAAGCAAGTCACTAAAGGCATACTTTTTTTATAATCAAATGCATAATTTTCATTTAAACTTTTGAGTTTCTTTCCTAAAATACTTCCTCATAGCTTATGGAATAAAGGCCAGCCTCCTTAACATGACCCCTAAGTTAAGTCCATAGAGGATGTCACTGTCAGTATCTTTCTCAGCTTCATTCTGACATGTCTATGATATTCTTCCTTTCTCTCCCTCATCTCTAATTTCGCTGAGTTAAATCTTATTCTTTCTTCAGATACCAACTTACATATCACTTTTTAAAATGTATTTTGTGGCTGGGCACGTTAGCTCATGCCTGTAATCCCAGGACTTTGGGAGGCCAAGGCAGGTGGATCACTTGAGGTCAGAAATTTGAGACCAGATTGGCCAACATGGTGAAACCTCATGTCTACTAACAATACAAAAAAAAAAACAATTAGCCAGACATGGTGGTACATGTCTGTAATCCCAGCTACTTGGGAGGCTGATGCAGGAAAATCACTTGAACCCGGGAGGCAGAGGTTGCAGTGAGCTGAGATCACACCACTGCTGTCCAGCCTGGGTGGCAGAATGAGACCCTGTCTCTAAATAAATAAATAAATAAATAAATAAATAAATAAATAAATAAATATTAAACATTTAAAAAAATGTATTTCGTGAGATCTCCAGTTTGGGTCTGGTGACATATCTCTGTGCTCCCATGGCATGTTGTCCTCCCCTGTCATAGACCTTATTATTGTGTGTTATAATCCTCTGTATCTTGTACTGGACTACACATTACAGCAGAGCAGTGATAGTGTCTATCCTCTTTCCTTTGTATTTCCAGAGGCTAGCATAGTGCCTGTTGCATAATGTGTACTGAGTAAATATTTTATAAACAAATAAATACATGTTGCTTCAAAATACTAATGTCTTGACTGCAGTAGCCCTCAAAAACCTGTGTTTATTGCTCTTAATTTTCAATTATTTATGCATGCCTTTATTCATTCATTTATTCAATCAATATTTATTGTATACCTCCTTTGCGCCAGATACATCCTAAGTCCTAGGTGTTGGGTGCTTAGTGAACAAGACAGACAGGGCCTCTGCTTTCATGACCATAGTGTCATGTACTGCAAAAAATCATGAAACTTTTTAAAAGGTTAAGTCCATTCCAAAAAGTTGTTCATGGGCCACCTTGTGGCTGTCAACACTGACTGGTCAACCCCTTAGGCTCCAGAGCAACATGAGCTCTACTTCATGGGAAATATAAATCAAGTACTCTTATTCCATTGATCAGCTTCCCTTGGAAAGCTTAAGTAAGTAGTTTATAGGGGTTGGGGGGGCAGTGTGGGAATGGGGAATAGAAATATCAAAGAAAGTGGAGAAAATGGTATAGAAATTGGGGATTTCAGCACTGACATGATACCATGCCACAACCTGGTTCTGCAAATTTTATTTCAAATGCTAAGCTAAGAAATTTGGTAGTAAAGATGGCAGTGGCATTGTAGAACTCTTTATTACAGATACTTATTTAGCTTAACTTGAGAGAATTCACAAATATAAATTTTAATGGACAGCTTTTGACATTTTATATTAGGTTTAATTTCTTTCTCTTTTAAATTGTTTGAGTATTTTTATTTGATTTTGTGCAGACAGTTGAATTATTCTACTAAGCCAGAGGTAAAACTTACAATTATGAAATCCAAGCATATTTGTGACTTATGACCCAGCAGCTCATATTACTGCTGACTGGGTGAACCCCAGACCTTCTAAAATATTGAGTAATTCCCATTGAGGCCCTTGCTATTTCTCATAAATATGTGTTTCAAAAAAAATAAAGTCACTATAGTCGTCAGTGTTCTGAATAACTTTTATCTCATAAAGCTGAACTGAAATGTTTTTAATAAAAATACTGTCCTCTACCTACAGTATGATTGCTTGGATTTCTATGTGAATATAACAAAGAGGGATTTAATCTAAGTTTACAATGTCTTATTTAGGCTTATATTTGGGTCCATAAAACACCTCCAGTTTTTCTGTTATATAAATAACCAAGCTGTGTCCTAGATGCCATGCTCAGCTACAGGCCTAATGCAGACTAGTGAACTATTTGTAGCCCAAATTCACTCTAGGTTACCAGTGAACCATAAAGCCTAAAGTTAGCAGAGAAAGAAAATCTAGTCTCTTTATTCCAAAGAGAATCTTTGAAAAATTTACCATTTCCCATATTCCATTTTGCTTCTAAAGGGTATGGAATAATTTAAAACTTGGAAAATATACTCAGTGAGGAGAGAGAGCTGGATATTTCAGAGTATAATGAGCCAATTCCTGAAGATGAATGAGACTTCTGTAGTTAGTGTACTCATCCTATTTATAGTGCCCAAGTCATCCTTATGTTCTTCTTGTCAACTTAGCTTTAAGGCTATTTTTCACTTCCTTTAGAAAACAATACAAATATACAAAACTAATATTCCCTTATAAATAGTAAATGTTAAATGAAAAAAAAGAAAAGAAGGACCACATTTATCCATTTAGTTGTAATAAATAATGCAAGCTTTCCAAATGGAAGTACTAGAATAATTAAGCTAATTTTCCAAAATTATTCTAGTGTATTCAATTATGGATTTTAATTATTTTAGAGAAGCAACTCATAGTGTTAATGAAAGAGACAGAAGTAAAAATCATGGTGGAGTTAGGTTTCATGTTTCTGCATTCTATAAGCTTTATTAGACAATGTTAATCAAATATTTAATGAATACTAAGAGCCTTTTGGGAGAGTAAAATGAATGTTACCATCATGGCTCTGAGAACTAGGTTGAAGTATAATCACAATCAGTTAAGGTAAGTGGATTTCACTGCCAAAGGGAACATTGGTTGTTGAAAAGAGGTCTCTGGAGAATTGTTTGGTATTAAAAAGAAATAATGCTAAAATAAAAATTAAAGCATGCCAAGTTTATGACATAAACTCCTAGATACCAGAAATATTAGGATAATGTTGCTCTTCAATCTTCAACTCATAATAGTCAAAAAGATTCAGCAGAGTATAAATGAACTGAATAGACCCCTTATCATTTCATTTTCTATGTTATGTTTGTTTTATGTGTCACTCAAATATATCTTATACTTTTTGTTTCTGTGGCATCTTGAAAAAGAGAAGAGAAGAATGTAAAAAAAAAGAAACCAATGTTTCTTAAACTAACTGCATTATAACCACTTGGGAGTAATAATTAAAAATACAGATTCCTAGTACTTGACCCAAAACAAATGAATTACTTGCTAGGGTTAGAGTCAGGAATTTGTTCCTTAAATGATCTGCCCAAGTGATTCTTAATCACGTGAAAATTTGAGATCTGCTGAATTAGATTTTTAATTGTGAAAGAACATGCTAAATATATATTAGGATTCCTCTCTTCTCCTCAAACATTATTATGACCATCTGTAAATTATATGAATTCACTTTACCTTCTTAATGAGTATCACATACTAAAATACTTTGCTTATTTGAAGCTAAACAAATCTTACAGAAACTTGTATCAGGCAGCTATTGTTGTGAAACAAACAATGACTATCAGAGGCATAGGATGAAAAGCATTTACTTACCTCATATGTGTTTATCATATCAATGATAAACATTTAGTTAGCTCATGTGAGTCAGGTGGGGTTCATCTGGTCTAGGCTGGGCATAGCTGGGCAGCTATACGCTGCAGGTTGTTTTTCAGTCTGTTAATGTCTCTTAACCTTCTTGGAGCTTGTGATGGTTAATACTGAGTGTCAACTCGATTGGATTGAAGGATGCAAAATATTGATCCTGGGTGTGTCTGTGAAGGTGTTGGCAAAGGATATTAAGAGTCAGTGGGCTGGGAAAGGCAGATTCACCCTTAATCTGGGTGGGCACCATCTAATCAGCTGCCAGCGTGGCCAGAACATAGAGCAGGCAGAAAAATGTGAAAAGGCTAGACTGGTTTAGCCTCCCAGCCAACATCTTTCTTCTGTGCTGGATGCTTCCTGCCCGTGAACATCAGACTCCAAGTTCTTCAGCTTTGGGACTCAGACTGGCTTCCTTGCTCCTCAGCTTGTAGATGGCCTATTGTGGGACCTTGTGATTGTGTGAGTTAATACTGCTTAATAAACTCCCATATATATACACGTGTGTGTGTGTGTGTGTGTGTGTGTGTGTGTGTGTGCAGGCGCCCATAGGTGAATCACAGCAGAGTTCTCTAGGATTTTTAGAGCAAGGCCCTGCCATCTTTTGGAGATAACTACTCCCCTTTTTTTGAGAGGCAGCTCTTGGCCTGTTACTAGGCTTTGGTGGAAACCAAACGTTTGACTATGGGTCATCAAGTCACCATGCGACCTGAATTGCCCATCATGAACTGGGTGCTTTCAGACCCATCTAGACCCATAAAGTGGGTTGTGCACAGCAGCATTCCATCATCAAATGGAAGTTGTATATATGTGACTGGGCTTGAGCAGGTCCTGAAGACAATAGTAAAGTTACATGAGGAAGTGGCTCAAATGCCCATGGTCACCACCCCTGCCACACTGCCTTCTCTCCCTCAGCCTGCACCAATGCTCTCATGGGGAGTTCTCTATGATCAGCTGACAGAGGAAGAGAAGACTAGGGCCTGGTTCACAGATGGTTCTGCACGATATGCAGGTACCACCTGAAAGTGGACAGGTGCAGCACTACAGCCCCTTTCTAGGACATCCCTGAAGGACAGCAGTGAAGGGAAATCTTCCGATTGGAGAGAACTCTGAGCAGTACACTTGGTTGTGCACTTTGCATGGAAGGAAAAATAACCAGATGAGCAATTGTATACTGATTCACGGGCTGTAGCCAATGGTTTGGCTGGATGGTCAGGGACTTGGAAAAAGCATGACTAGAAAACTGGTGACAAAGAAATTTGGGGAAAAGGTATGTGGATGGACCTCTCGGAGTGGTCAAAAACTGTGAAGATATATGTATCCCATGTGAGTGCTTACCAACTGGTGACCTCAGAATAGAGGATTTTAATAATCAAGTGGTTAGGTTGACCCATTCTGTGGACACCACTCAGCCTCTTTCCCTAGCCACCTGTCATTGCCCAGTGGGCCCATGAACAAAGTGGCTGTGGAAGCAGGGATGGAGGTTATGCATGGGCTCAGCAACACAGACTTCTGCTCACCAAGGCTGACCTGCCTATGGCCATTGATTAGTGCCCAATTTGCCAACAGCAGAGACCAACACTGAGTCCTCGATATGGCACCACTCCTCAGGGTGATCAGCCAGCTACCTGGTGGTAGGTTGATTATATTGGACCTCTTCCATCATGGAAAAGGCAGAGGTTTGTCCTCACTGGAATAGACACTTACTCTGGATATGGGTTTGCCTATCCTGCTCACAATGCTTCTGCCAAGACTACCATCCATGGACTCACAGAGTGCCTTACAACCATCATGGTATTCCACACAGCATTGCCTCTGACCAAGGCACTCACTTTACAGCTAAAGAAGTGTGGCAGTGGGCTCATGCTCATGGAATTCACTGGTCTTACCATGTTCCCCATCATCCTGAAGCAGCTGGATTGACAGAATTGTAGAATGGCCTATTGAAGTCACAATTACAATGCCAACTAGGTAACAATACTTTTCAGGGCTGGAGCAAAGTTCTCCAGAAGGCCATGTATGCTCTGAATTGGTGTTCAATATATGGCACTGTTTCTCCCATAGCCAGGATTCATGGGGCCAGGAATCAAGGGGTGGAAGTAGAAGTGGAAGTGGCACCTCTCACCATCACCCCTAGTGATTCACTAGCAAAATTTTTGCTTCCTGTTCCTGTTACATTACGTTCTGCTTGCCTAGAAGTCTTAGTTCCAGAGGGAGGAACACTGCCACCAGGAGACACTATGATTCCAGTAAACTGGAAGTTAAGATTACTACCTGGTCACTTCCACCTTTAAGTCAACAGGCTAAGAAGGGAGTTACAGTGTTGGCTGGGGTGATTGACCCGGAATATCAAGACAAAATTAGTCTACTACTCCATAACAAAGGTAAGTAAGAGTATGCATGGAATACAGGAGATCCATTAGGGCACCTCTTAGTATTACCATGACCTGTGATTAAGGTCAATGGGAAACTACAACATCCAATCCAGGCATGACTACAAATGACCAGACCCTTCAGGAATGAAGGTTTGGGTCACTCCACCAGGAAAAAAAAAAAAAAAAAAAAAGCCATGACCTGCTGAGGCGCTTGCTAAAGGTAAAGGGAATACAGAATGGGTAGTAGAAGAAGGTAGTCATCAGTTCCAGCTATGACCATGTAGCCAGTTGCAGAAACGAGGACTTAATTGGCATGAATATTTACTCCTTCTTTTGTTAAAAACATGTTTGTGCATGTATACACTTGTACTAAGAAAATATCTTCATTGTATTTCCTTTACCCTTTATCATGTGACATAAGATTTATTGACTTCTTATCAGCATTTAAGTATTGTTAACTTTATGTAATAGCATTTGGGTTGGGGATTGGTGAATTTCCAGTTGTGCGAAGGAGAGTTGTATTGTTAGGCATAATTATGACCTTATTATTGTCTTTATTTGAAGATTATGTATGATCTCAGGAGATGTGTATGGGTTCAAGTTGACAAGGGGTAGACTTGTGATGGTTAATACTGAGTGTCAACTTGATTGGATTGAAGGATGCTAAGTATTGATCCTTGGCATGTCTGAAGGTATTGCCAAAGGAGATTAACATTTGAGTCAGTGGGCTGGGAAAGGCAGACCCATCCTTTATCTGGGTGGGCACCATCTAATTAGCTGTCAGTGTGCCCAGAATATAGAGCAGGCAGAAAAATGTGAAAAGGCTAGACTGGCTTAGCCTTCCAGGATAGGTCTTTGTCCTGTGCTGGATGCTTCCTGCCCTGGAACACCAGACTCCAAGTTCTTCAGCTTTGGGACTTGGACTGGCTTCCTTGCTCCTCAGCTTGTAGATGGCCTATTGTGGGACCTTGTGATTGTGTGAGTTAATACTACTTAATAAACTCCACTTTATATACATGTATCTATCCTATTAGTTCTGTCCCTCTAGAGACCCCTAATACAGAGGTTCTTGACTAGTTGAGGTATGTTGTTATAGTAATGACACAAGCATATTTCGAGTCTCTGCTGGTGTCACATCTACTAATAACCCATTGACCAAGGCAAGCGACATGGCCAAGCCCAACACCAAAGGATGAAAAAAGTACATTTCACCTACCATGAGGCTAAAGCTAGTTATATGGCCAAGTACAATATCAAGAATGTAGGGAAGTATACTCCTACCATGAAGGGAGTAGGAGAGTGGAAATGAAAATTTCACAAGCCTCAATGTCATAATTTACTTAGCAAAATAAGAGTAGGTCTCTGTTACCCTAGTGCTTACTGGGTAGATGAGAGACCTGTGAAAGGGTATTCCCTTACTCACGAATCTACCTAAAATATCACTATTTAAGTTTATTCCTTTGAGTTAAGTCTCTCTGATATGTAGGAATCCTGTAGTATAATAAAAGCTCCCCAGAAAGGAAGTAATATTAAGCCTGAAAAGAGCAGTAAATTCTTACATCCTTTTTTTTCCAAATAAGGGGATATTTAGGGGCTGTCTCATTAGCATATTACAAGTCACATGGGTCATATAAAGTACTAGCCAGGAAAATAGGAAGAAAAGAAAGTCAGAGATATTGTGAAAGAAGGTTTTTAAAAACTTGACAACTAATTCAATGGTGTGAAACAAGTGGAAAGAATCACAATGGATTTTAGGTTCCAGTGGATATTAAGATGGAAATGACTCACAGAATATTGTAAAGGTGAAAAGAGAGTTCAGCCAAGGAGCCAGACCAGGGAGAGAGAGAGAGAAATGTAAAAGTCTCAGACAGAAGTTGAGAAAGATGATGAGGTTACTTAAAGAAAGTACTATGGAAACATATAGAAAGCAACAAGGGAGGCACTCTTGAAGAGTTCCTACACTTAGGGAAGAGGTAAAAAGGAAACAAAGAGAGAATATTAAGCTTCCTTGCCCACCAAATCAATCATACAACAAATAATAGATAACAAATCCCATCATTTGATTTAGAGAAAAAAGCAGAGGAAAGACACTAAATCCCATGGTCTGGTTTCTTGTCAAACAGTGCAAGTGACCATTTTTCCCAGATATTACTTTTCTTTTTCTAGATAGAAATCGCCTTTCTGAATCGAGTAAAAGCAAATAAATAAGAGCAGCTTGATGTTATATACAATATACAGTGTTACACAAAGTTGTGATTCATTTTCTACTGGTGTTTAGTGAGTGTTTGACTGTACCATTTTGAATCATTGGAAAATTATTGTAATTTTTTTGCTTCCAAAAAGAATGATATTTGCTTTTCTATTAATCAGACCATACCCTTAAAAGTGCTTTCTTGGCCGGGCGCGGTGGCTCACGCCTGTAATCCCAGCACTTTGGGAGGCCGAGGCAGGCAGATCACGAGGTCAGGAAATCGAGACCATCCTGGCTAACACAGTGAAACCCCGTCTCTACTAAAAATACAAAAAAATTAGCCTGGCGTGGTGGCGGGCGCCTGTAGTCCCAGCTAATTGGGAGGCTGGGGAGGCTGAGGTAGGTGAATGGCATGAACCCAGGAGGCGTGAACCCGAGAGGCAGAGCTTGCAATGAGCCCAGATTGCGCCACTGCGCTCCAGCCTGGGCAACAGAGCGAGACTCTGTCTCAAAAAAAAAAAGATTGCTTTCTTAAAAATGTGCCTCTTAATATATGTGTCATGCTTTTAAAACAGTATCCTGTTTTGGGCTGGGCATGGTGACTCATGCCTGTAATCCCAGCACTTTGGGAGGCTGAAGCGAGTGGATCACGAGGTCAGGAGATCAAGACCTTCCTGGCTAACACGGTGAAACCCTGTCTCTACTAAAAATACAAAAAAAATAGCTGGGCGTGGTGGCGGGTGCCTGTAGTCCCAGCTACTCAGGGGGCTGAGGCAGGAGAATGGCATGAACCTGGGAGGCAGAGCTTGTAGTGAGGTGAGATCACGCCACTGCACTCCAGCCTGGGAGACACAGCGAGACTCTGTCTCAAAGAAAACAAAAACAAAAATAAAACCACTATCCTATTTTATATCCATTAAACAATATGTAGTACAATCGGTTAAGAATGCCCACTAAATAATAATGGTAGGGTAATAATGGTTAACATTTTAAAGTGCTTATCTATAGCCCAGGCATGGCTTGAAGTACTTTCTGTATATTAATTTTTTTATTCCACAAAAAACCGTATATAAGGTGGGCACCATTTTTTTTTTTTTTTTTTTTGCAGGTAAGAAAATCAGAGCAAAGGAAGTTTGAGTAATGCACCCTGGCTCCCATAAATGGTAGATGCAGAGCTCAAACCCACATGGCTGACTCCAGACCTCAATGAAGAACACGTTCCTGTTTTCCTGGGTGGTTCACCATTTTGCCTGTTGTCCCAGGGTAATTATTACTGGCTTGTCCTTTAATTCTCAAAATGTCCTATTTGTGATGATGAATTACATCATTAGCCTACCCAGAACCCAAATCCTTATCAACAACACAATACTGCCTCCTTGGCAGAAAGCTAGCAGTGCTGAGGATGAAAAAGGGGAAAATGAAGAAACTGTTGCTAAGAACAGTGAATAAAGTTAAAATGTACCATCTCAAGGGGCTAGTCATATACCAGGTGTTTTTTTCCTTATTATAGAAATGTAATTTGAATGCTCCAGATGTCACTAACCTGTCAGCAAAAATGCAGTCTCATTAGCTTCAATGAACAAATTCTAGTTACCATCTGGATAATGCCAAGACATCATACTTCCCTCAAAGTCTTTCCCAGTTATGTTAGAGTCTCCAGAAGATATACCACATACCTGTAGACAAAATGCTTTCTAGCTCTTCCACCTTGCCTCCTACTTTGCAGGGACACTGTTCCTATCTCATATGCCCAATAGGAACTGCACTCTCTCAAGCACCCCAGCCTCTCTCGCTGCTCTGCTGTGCACAGCAACACTCTGCTGGTGGCTTCTATGCAGGATCCCAAACTACCCTGAGTTCTGTGATGATGCAGAGCTAAAACAGGACAGCTAGCTAACCCACTCTTTTCTGCAGTTTCTCACTTGGGTCCATAAGAATCTGTTCTTACCCAAAGTGTCATCAAATTATTCATGAATAGTTCTTTCTGTTCATGGTCACAGACCCTCTTTAAACAAGGCCTTAAATCAGGTTATTACTTGGAGAACAAGAGGTGACAAAGAATTAGTCTGTGAGCTCATTTCCTCCTTTTCATCTTTCTTAGCCCCCATGCATTTGAAAGGAAGAGAAGGAGAACAAAAACAAGGAAAGAAAGGAAAAAAGGAAGGAAGGGAGGAAGTCAAGGCAAGGTAAGCGGAAGGGAGGGAGGGGAAAAATAAAAGGAAAAATGCATTTAAAAAATGTTCTCCTCTTTTTTCTACCATGCAAATTATTACCTACTCACAATTTCCATAAAAAAAATCAGTTTTTGTTTCAGAGACAGAAAAATCAATCTACTTTTAGTAATTGTTTAGTTCAGTTTAAATATTTGAATCATTCAAGCTTCCTCAGAATAGGTCAGATGTTTTATGTCAAAATGTAATCCAGATGTCATTCAGTTGAGGAGTCTTGAAATGAATTGACCCTTTAGACAATAATTTGACCAAGCTTTCTCCAAAGCATAAGCTATTACTTAAGTATCTAACAGCGACAGCATTAAAGGCTTCACTGGACTAATTGGGTGTGACTGAGACAAACATGAATTTAATAGTATCTCAGTTCCAGCTTGGGAAATGAAGGTAATGAGTCAGGTTATATTGGCCTTTGGACTCATGCCTGCAGTCCTCTCCCACTGCCATCCAACTGACTGGAATGCTTGCTTTGTCTCCAGACAAGATGGGCCTGGAGAGCATGAGTAAATCCGGGGCTCAGGCCAGGGCTCAGTAGATCTGACACCTGCATCCAACGCAAGAAACACTGAATGCTGAGGGGAGGTTCCTGGGACAAGGACCAAAACACCACCCCTTATTCTGACAGAGCTGCACCAGTAGTGATACAAAACTTAGAAACAAAAGGCTGCCAATTCCAGGGAGCATATGCTAGTCTCCCTCTCACTGGGGGTGTTACAGGGGAGCCAGCAGATAATCCCAGAGTTTCTGACATCTGATGCTAAGAGAGCCTCTGCTGTTAAGACTACCATGGAACAGACAGAGTTATTCTAGTTCCTCTGGAACCTTTCCTGTCACTACCAGCCAGTCCCTGCCAATTCATAGGGCAGGACAGCTGCTCACCCCACCACTATCCAGATTGCCACAGCTTAAAGTAACCAGTAGCTGGCCCTGTCTGCCAAGATATAAAGGACCATAAGTATGCAAAGGAAAATAATGCTATGCTCCAGGAACCCAAGAGTCAAGTAGAAGAAGAAACAGAACACCCAAAACAGATGGCTCCTATCAGAATAGAAGAGATGGAGACAGAATAGCACTTGAACAAAATAACGTAAGAAAACATACCATTAAAGACCAAAAAGACTTTCTACAACAACACAAATATGATTTTCTACTTTAATAATTCAGTGAATACATTGTAAAAAGAGGATAATCATTAAAGCCTGATTTAGTAGCCTAGAAGATACAGAGGAGGAAATAATTCAAGACATAGAGGGGGAAAAAGTGGGGAGAAGGAGGAATTAATATCTCCAGAGTAAAGATAAGCAACATATCAACAGATCCAAAAAATATAACACAGAAATTGAGGTTTTATAAGAAAAAAGTAACTACAGAAGGAAGGGTAATTAATCAACTGATAGAAAATTATATTGCTTGAATTAATCCAAACTTGAATGTACAAGTTGAAAGAATTTATAAAGCTCCAGAGTTCCTATTGGGACTATAAGAAAATACACAAAATAGGTATATCCTGGTAAAATTCCTGAACCCCAAAGATAAAAGAAAAAATTTGTACATGATTCCAGACTGAAAACTATGATATCTTAGTCAGCTCAGACTACTATAACAAAAATACCACAGACTGAGTGGATTAAATGACAAATATTTATTTCTCATGATTCTGGAGAGGCTGGGAAGTCCAAGATCAAGTCACTAGCAGATTAAGTATCTAGTGAGGGAGCAATTGCTTCCTGGTTTATAGAAAACTGCCTTATACTCGTATCCTCACATGGCAGACAGCAGAGAGAGAGGAAGCAAGCGCTCTCCTGTCTCTTCTTATAAAAGCACTAATCCCATCATGACTCACCCTCACAACCCAATTACCTCCCAAAGGCCCATCTCCAAATACCATCACACTGGGGATTAGGGTTACAGCATACAAATTTTGGGGAAATACATTCAGTCCATAGCATGCAATTACAAAGAAAAAAGCATCAGACAAAGTATTGAATTTCTCATCAACAACATAGGAAGTTAAAAGACAGTTGAAAAAAATCCTCAGGTTGTCAGGAGAAAGGAATACAACCAAACATATTTACACAAACAAGGACAGTTCACATGTCACATAAAAGTAAATATATAAATATAAAAATAAATATGTTTATGGAAAGTCAGTATTTTGAGACTACATACCCAAGTATTCCAGCTGAGCATGATGATCAACAAAAAATAAATCAGAAGAAAAACCGCAAGACAGAAAGACAAAGAGGAGAGCAGACAAAGGTGAGCAATAATCATTCACTGGAATATCTACATCAATATTTATAGGTAGATGGATGGGTGGATAGCTGGATCAATTGATGAACTGATTGGTTGACTGACTGATAGATTTATATCAAAATGGAAAATGAGAAAGAGACTGGAATTATACACAAAGTAAGTTCCAAATAAGAATTCTGGAAATGGAATATTAATAATATAAAGAAAAATCCAATGATCTTCAAGTAAAAATAATTAACTTTCTCTGCAAAACCAAAGGAAAAGGGCAGAGTAAACGCATTCTAGACTGAAGAGTGGGTGGAAATAGTAACTTGTTCATACATAATTGCATATATAGTGTTTATAACAGCTTTGTGTATAATAACCCTAACCAGGAAATATATCAAATGTCCATCAACAAGAGAATGAATAATTTATGATAGATAAATTCAAATAACAATTTTATTTGGAAATCCAAATAACAATTTTTAAAATGTAATACTGTTATATACCACATAGATGACTCCCAGAAATGTTAAAAGTGAAGGAAGTCAGACAGAAAAGAGCAGATGCTGTATGATTCCCCTAACAAGAAGTTGACAAATTATTCTATGGTAATACAAGTCAATTTGGTGGTTATCTCTTGGAGTGGTGTACTGACTGAGGAGCAGCACAGGAAATTTTCTGGGGCAATGAAAATGTTCTATATGTTCATCTAAATGGTGGCTACACAAATGTACAGTACAGATATGTAAAATTCATCCAGCTGTAACTTAAGATTTGTGCACTGTAAGATTTAAGACTTAAGAGCTGTAAATTTAAGAGTAGGTAAGTTATGCCTCATTAAAGAAACATTTAAAATAAAGAAACTAAAATTAGAACTCTCTTAGAGAAGAGTGAAAAATGAATACTTCACACCAAAAAAATTAGGAGAACTAGAGTGATAGCTAGAACAAATTTGTAGCATTGTAAAGGGAGAACAACTACAAATAAAGGAACTTAATACACCTCTTTAAAATTTAAATAATAAAATAAGCAAAAAATAAAATTAGTAATGGTAGAAGCTGACATGAATACAAAAGAAAACAGAAAATAAAAGAGTGTAAATTCAAATCCTAGTGGTTTAAAATAATTAATCCCATAGAAAATCTTTGCAAGCTTTCAAAGGAAGAGTAGAGAAGACATACAAGACAATAAGAATGAAAAGAGACATAACCATCTGTAGAGAAAATATTAAAATAAATTATGAGAACATGAAAAACAATTTTATTGTAATATACTTATAAACCTATAATAAATTAAAAATTTCCTAAAACTAATATAAACCAATAGTGGTACCATAAAGTACCACTATTAATCAAAAAAATTGGATATTTGAATAAAGCAATAACTTTAAAGTCAATTGAAACAGGGATCAATGATTTTCCTTTCAAAGAAGCACTGGAACCCAATGTTCCTACCTAAATTTTACCTAATCTTTAAGGAAAAATAATTCCAGTATTTTAATTAAACTTTCCTCAACCCTAGGAGATCACAGAAAAATCTTTATTTTATGAAACCAACATAATCTCAACTGCAAAATTTGAAGTTATCGAAATATCACAGACTAGCTTCATTTATGAAAGTAGATGAAACATTCTACGTAAAATATTACAAAATAGAATGTAGCAAGATTTTCACTATAAAAAAGTATATTTATTTTAGGAAAGTCACTACAATGCCAGCAAATCTGCTAATAAAATGTATTAAATCAAAATATTAAAACAAAAATATGTGATTCATAAATGTTAAACTGGCAATAGATTGAATCAAGCAGTCAATCCTACCAAAAACTTTATAACAGACACATGGATAAATACAACAGAACAAAGGGCCCTTAACTAGATTTAAGCATATATGAGAATTTAATGTACAAAGAATTATTTCCACTTAGTGGTCAAAAGACAGTAAATGATATTGATATACACAAATATCTAGCTGGAAGAAAAATAAGTTGGACCTCTACTCACACCACCTTCAGATATAAGTTCCAGATGTATTAAAGGTTTGTAAAATAATAATTTTAGAAGAAAACATTAATAGGTTCTATGTGTACCTTGGAGTTTGAAAAATGTTTTTAACCAAAAAAAGGTAAACCAAAAGTGTAAATATACACTAACTACATAGAAATTTAAAGATTTCATATTACCAAAGATAACATAAACAAAGGTCATAATTAAATGACTGGTACATTGTTGTAAAATAAATGACAAGTGAAGGATTAATATATAAATAGGGTAAAATGTGCATCAGTAAGAAAAAGACAAATAAAAAATTAAAAAATAGACAAAAATTATAAATAGGCAATCCATAGAAGAGCTACGTATATATGAAGAGCAACTATATATCACAGAAATGTAAATTAAAGTAAGTGTAAATCATTTCACACTCATCACATTGGCAAATACATCTACCATTGGGAATTTAGAAATAAAAAGATGTGCTCAATTTTGCTGAGAAATTTGAATTGATAATCATTCTGGAGATATCAATCAAAATTAAAAATATTTATACACTTTTATCCAACAATTTTACTCTTATAAATCTGTTTCATAAAAATAGAAGCACCAATCCAAAAAGATGTTTGTAAGGGCACCAAACTATAAACAAAGTAAATTCTGACTAACTGGAGAATGACTGAATAGAATGGGGTATATTTATATCATGGAACATTATGAAGACATTGAAACGGGTTAGAAGATTCTCATGGCGATTCCAGACAGTGTAATAAACAATGACCATAAACATGTACTTTCATATGCATATATAAGCAAGAAGAAGAGCACTGAATATTTTTTAATTTTACAAAAATATATTATTTATATCATCAAAAAAGTTCTTTTCACTGTGAAAAATTTCAAAGAGCTATAAAAATGTAAAAAATGGCTCCTCAAATAATTTGCAGCCTGCTTACATTACACAAATGGAAATTTAATCTAGACAAATGAAACCTACTTGTCTGTGCAATCATCATGACAGATTAATCCATGTTTAATGTATAAATATACTATAATGATAAAATGCTCTCAACAGAACTAAAATGAGCTGATATTGTTTTTGACAATGAACAAATGTGTAAATAGTAAAACTAGAAAGTTCTATGAAAAAATATTTTATGGCAATATTTTAAATATGTAAACTGTGAATGCAACATATTACTATCCAGAATTTAAAAAATTACCTTGCATAATTTTTATTTTGTTGTTGTTTCCTATATATTTTGCTTATTAATGAATGTTTTATTCCATTTTAAGGAAATAATTTATTACAAAAATTTTTAAATAATATATTCCATTATTTATTTTTATAGCCTCTTGGAAAAGTAATAATATATAGTCAGTTTACAGGACATTTACAGATCAGTACAGCAAGAGGAATTCTAGTTACATGCCAAAATACTTTCCTATCTGACTCCTGGAATTATTATCTCAGCGAGAACTAACGGGAATCAGCATATCAACTTGCTATAAAAATATCATGATTATCGTTCCCATAAACTATCAAGCACTAAACTAAGCATGGTGCTGGCCACACATACCAAAGCAGATTTAATAGTTGAATCTTTTTCACAAGAATAAGAAAGACTAAGGATATGAAGTGACTACTATTTATGAACCTGAAGATGTGTTGCTTTATATGTGACATGTATTTCCCTCTTATTATGGATTAAATGTTTGTGCCTTTCCCCAAATTCATATGTTGACACTTCAACCCCCAATGTGATAGTATTAGCAGGTGGCTTTTGGGAGGTAATTAAGTTTAAATTAAGTCATGAGGATGGCACCTAACAAGAGCTCTTCCTTC